>NC_000012.12:70338915-70490431 GCF_000001405.40 Homo sapiens | reverse complement strand
TGGTTAAAAAAAAACTATGTGTGAACACATTGGCTAAAGTTAGAGAGGTATTATTCAGTTTTTCCATATATTGAACATTGGAATTAAAATACAACAGGTTTTCTCTCAGAGCACTGATCTCTTTCACAAAAATTGTAAAGGGTTATAAAAAGTTAATAAAAATCTTACCATACAGTCAGATATTAAAATTGGATCAATTTGTCTATAAGGTTTTACTAAGAATTGGATTTGACATTAATAACACACTAATGTAAAGATGAAATCTGGTTTATTTAGTATAAAATCATATAGGAAGCATTGTCAAATATGAAGTGGTATTTGGCTTTCTTTGGGCTGTATTTGTATAAATATGTTATAGGTATGTGTTCCAAAATTATAAGAATCTCCTACAATTCTGATACGGCTTAGTGTATGTTATTAATAATTGAGTTATATAAAATGTTGTATGCCACAGAAGCAAAATTTCCTTGTCAATTATGGCTTTAATAGCAGCTGTCCTAAGACTTTTTGTAATCTCTTCCATAGACAATTGTCTTTTTTGGTCCTCTTTAGAAGGTGGTTTATAATAAACAATGACTCCAACAGGTGTTCTTGAATGCAGGTTTCTGACAACTTTGGAAATTGTGACATTAGAATAGAGGAAAACTTTTCAGGACTCTCATGGAGATCTGAAATGTTCATGAATAGCAAAACAGGAGTTAACTGCATGGACTGAACTAATAGAAGACTGAAATAATCTTTTTGACTTTGTTTAAAAACATTGCTGATCCTTTGTTCTGTTTTTCAGAGTTAAACTGTTCTTCTGAGCTATTTACAGCTTTTAACAATTGAGTAAAGTATACTCCTGTGAACAAAATTAGGGGCATATTTGTTCCTCTCTATATGATTTCTCCAAAATTTGGAAACTATTTGTGCATATTCTTAACTTATGGCATATAGTTATTTACACAAGTGCAATAAGAATGCTTTCATTCGTAACAGGACACAATTGAGTAAATTGGTTATTTTATCAAAGCTTTGACTGGAACGGCATACTTTTATTTAAGGACTCAAATTTGATTTGTAAAGCCAATGAAAGCCCCTTGGGAAAACTGGCCTCATACCTTGTCTATGCAGTCCCTGTGCAGGTTTCTAACCTGCAGTAAGTAAAGAATGTCACTTTCTGACAGGTCCAGGAGCCCCAAGTTATCTTGGAGTCTCAAGAGGAAAGAAATTTACCCAAGTTATAGGTATTTGAGGGTACAAACCCATGGCTGGGATCAGCTTCAAAAACATCTTATATGAGATTCCTTATGGAACAGAGTTCCACCAAAGCCAATTTTAAAAGAGCCTATGTAAAAAAAAAAATTATTCTTGCTGCACTTTATACAAATGATCAGGCGAACTATAATAAATCAAATTGGTCTTACCATGATTTGTCTTTAGTGAAAATGGGAGACTAGAGAGAAAAAAATTGTTTCAAAAACTGTATCATACTTGGTATTAGATTCTAGTTTTCTTCTGCAATTAAACCAACCCTGCTTATTCCTGTGAACCAATCAGTGATCTCTGGCTGTTACTCAGAATAAACAAGAGGGATTGGTAACATAAAAATCTGGATCAATATTCTAATTCTGGGCATGTATTGGAATCAGCTAGCAACCCCATAGCAGGTTGCTAGCTGCTATGGGGTTATTTTGCTTTACTGTTGTGGAACGTCTTGCTGTTGTACTCTTTGTGTTGGAATACAGGATAAGCTTACTCAATGTTTTCTTAAATTAAATACATACTAATCTTCCAGATATCACTTTTTGTTAGCACTTGGAGTTATGAATGGTCCTCAGCATACTGATGTTTTCTGACAGAGCTCCTCTCTCCCCTGAATGCAGGAGACCCTAATAGTTAGGCAGGAATATCATCACCCCTATTCAGCATGAAGAAGTTATAGGTGATGGATCTTTGCCCTTCTGCAACTCTTAGGATTAACGGTTCTCTTATAAAAGGGAGGGGGTAAACGTTAGAGGCATTGGAACCAGAGAAACTCCATCTTAAATAGGAGCTGAGATAAATGAGGCTGAAATCTACTGGGCTACACTCCCAGATGGTTAGGCACTCTAAGTCACAGAATAAGACAGGAGGTCAGCTCAAGATACAGGTCATAAAGACTTTGCTGATAAAACAGGTTGCAGGAAAGTAGCTGGCCAAAATCCACCAAAACCAAGATGGTGATCAGAGTGACCTCTGGTTGTCCTCACTGCTACACTCCCACCAGCACCATGACAGTTTACAAATACCATGGCAATGTCAGGAAGTTACCCAATATGGTCTAAAAAGGCGAGGTATGGATAATCCACCCCTTGTTTAGCATATAATCAAGAGCTAATCATAAATATGGGCAACCAGCAGCTCTCAAGGCTGCTCTGCCTATTAAGTAGCTATTCTTTTACTCCTTTACTTTCTTAATAAATTTGCTTTCACTTTATTCTATGGACTCACCCTGAATTCTTTCTTTCTTGTATGAGATCCAAGAACCCTCTTTTGGGGTCTGGACTGGGACCCCCTTCTGGTAACAGAATGATGTATTTTCTTTTGGATATATATCCAGTAATGGGATTCCTGAATCAAATGGTAGTTCTGTTTTAAGTTCTTTGAGAAACCTCCAAACTGCTTTCCACAGGAACTGAACTAATTTACATTCCCACCAACAGTTTATAAGCATTCTCTTTTTGCCAGAGCTTGGCCAACATCTGTTGTTTTTTGACTTTTCACTAATAGCCATTCTGACTGGTGTGGCATGGTATCTCACTGTGGTTTTGATTTGCATTTCTCTGATGATTAGTGATGTGGAGCATTTTTTCATATATTTGTTGGCCGCTAGTATGTCATTTTGAGAAGTGTCTGTTCGTGTCTCTTGCCCACTTTTTAATAGACTTATTTGCTTATGTTTCTTATAGCTTATGGATATTAAATCTTTGCAGAATGCATAGTTTGCAAATAGTTTCTCCCATTCTGTTAGTTGTCTGTTTACTCTGTTAATAGTTTCTTTTGCTATGCAGAAGCTTTTTAGTTTAATTAGCTCCCATCTGTCAATTTTTGTTTTCATTGCAACTGTTTTTGCAGCCTCAGTCATAAATTCTTTCCCAAGGCCAATGTACAGAATGGTATTTCCTAGGTTTTCTTCTAGGATTCTTATAGTTTGAGGATCTTACATTTAAATCTTTAATTCATCTTTAGTTAATTTTTGTACATGGTGAAATGTAGTGGTCCAGTTTCATTCTTCTGCATATAGCTTGCCAGCTATCCCAGTGTAGAAAGTTGTATTTTGGAGACTGATTTAGTTTGATAGTTGGTTTTTTCAGCTTAGCTTGTTTCTTAATTGAATCACTGGCTTCAGGGTGGAGCCATTTAATGAATAGCACAAAAAAAAATTTGCTGTTTTTAGAGTTTAATATCTAATATATGAGAAGCAGACACAACCGGAAGGCAGAGCATCTAGATCTTTAAAAATTAAGGATTTCACATTTACATTGAATTCTGGGTCCCCAAAATAGGGAAATGCCATGGGACTTGCCCATGCAACAGTTCTGCAGTGCTCCTCACTACAAGGGTATTCCCCCAAGGCTGGTTAGAAATCCAATACCAACCAGTCCACTCTGTAATTAACTCAACCCCTATAAGAGTCTTCTCTCTTTTTGGCAAGTATTTCCACAGCCTCGAATTGTTCAAACCACTTTTCTTATCTACAAGTGCAAATAAATAGCTTTCTGCAGTAATAACCACCCATTGCAACCATAGTTGGCCTGTTAGCAGCAGCAAAGCTGTATGGGTCTGCAACAACCTCAATTCTTGCCTCCTCAGAAGAATTTGAGTCAGGGGCATGATGCAGAAGGAGAAACTGAGGCAAGTTTTAGAGGAGGAGTTAAGGTTTATTAATAAGCTTTACAGCAGGAAAGAAAGGAAGTAAAGTATACTTGGAAGACGGCCAGGTGGGTGACTTGAGAGATCAAGTGTGCTGTTTGACATGGGGGTTTATTTGCTGGCCTACTTCTAGGGTCTTGCATTACCTTCTACCCTGATTTTTCTCTTGGGGTGGCTGTCCACATGCACAGTGGCCTGCTAGCACTTGGGAGGGGAGCATGCACAGTGCGTTTACTGGAGTTATATGCATGCTAACTTGAGGTGTTCTTCCCTTACTGCTCAAATGTCCCTGAGAGGTCACGTACCAGTTAAATTCTGCCATTTTGCCTCTTAATGTACATGCTTCAGCCCACTTGCCCAACTACTGAGATTTTATCAGGAAGCTGCTGATCACCAGTTTCAGGTATTTTCTATCTATTGGGAGACTGCTTTTCCGTGGTGTTGGCTATGACCAATTATTATTTTAGAGAGACAGTTAGCAACTTCCTGACCACCACCTGATGGTCACCTGTGATTCCTGGTGATGGGAATCCCTCTCCTGCCCTGCTCATGTATGACTAGCTACCTACTGTAACAGGCCACTTTCAAAACTATAAATCTCACTAGTGACTTGCCAGCCATCGCACTCAAAGGTCAAGTTCCTTCTCAAAGTACAAAGCAATCTCTGGAAACACACAAGCCAAAGAGATTAAGAAATCAGTGCAAAAGAGAGCAGGACTGTAGATCTGAGAGAAGCCTGCCCATGACTTTTTTTTTTCTAATGCCCTCACTTTAACAGAATTGCCCATGACTCGAGACTCCCAAAAAGGGGTTATGAATGATGCTTTTTTTGTGTGTTCCTCAAGGGGTCTTGAGGTTGCTAGAAACCTCCTATGTAGTACTGAAGATGGCAAGGAAAAGGAGAAGCCAAGTGGGAAGAAATGGAAGATCTTTGGGAGGCCAAGGCAGGTGGATCACGAGGTCAAGAGATCGAGATCATCCTGGCCAACATAGTGAAACCCTGTCTCTACTAAAAATACAAAAATTAGCTGGGCATGGTGGCATGCACCTGTAGTCCCAGCTACTCAGGAGGCTGAGGCAGGAGAATCACTTGAACCCGGGAGGCAGAGGATGCAGTGAGCCAAGATCATGCCACTGCACTCCAGCCTTGTGATAGAGCAAGACTCAGGGGGAAAAAAAAAAACGAAAAAGAAAAAGAAATGGAAGATCAAGTTTTAAAGGAACCAATTTGGGGAGATTTTAAGCTTTCTCAAAGGCTAAAGTTTCACATTTTTCTAAGCAAAATCATGCCAACAGGAAAGGAAGCAAATAGAGGGACCAAACGTATTTAAAGAGAGGCTTCAGTTGGCTGAAAAACATTCCCAGAAATAAGACCTAAAAGAGAAAAAGCAAAAAGGCTTTTTTTAAATTATAGCATGAATATCAGCTTTTGATTAAGGTGATTTCTGACCACAGAGCTCTTTTTAAAAAAAAAGCTTTTCAAATCTCTTTTTATCAGACTTCAGCCAAGACAAACAGAAAATAGGTTTTCTATTTAATTTGTCCAGTTCTAAGACCAAGTTTTCCAATTATGTGCACAAATGAAACATTTTAGGCATTTCAAAGAAGACCCATTTAACCACTGCTACTTATGACTATCCCAGGTTATATGGGCTCATTTTCCTAGACATTTACAAGAGGACACCACATTAAGTTTTGTACATAAAACCAGCTGATGTTTCTAAAGAAGATTTCATTTTTAAAAAGTGTTCAGATTTTAAAGCTTGATTTCCCATTATTTAGGAATTTTTTAAAAGTGACCAAGGGCAGAAATGTGTTTTGGGTCAAAGTATGCTGCTTATGAGTGTCACTACACAAGGTGTCACCCAAGTGTCATGAGTCTCTCTTTTATGTGTCTCGGACCACCTCTAACTGCCAGGTGTTAGTAGGATGCTCAAGGTATAGAAGTAACCAGTTCCTTATTTATACCCTTTAGATTGAGCAAGAGTCCCTAAAATATTCTCCTGCTGAGGAATGACTTATGAGGCCACTTCACATCCTGGGAAATGTCCTGACACCTCTGCAAAGTCTCTAGTCACCTGGAGCACCCAAATGGGTCAGAGGGAACAATTGCCTTTTCTCTTAATGGCAACAGAACCCACCCTTATGCATCTTTTGGTCTGAAACTAGCAGAAATTGGTCAAAAATGAAAATATAAAGTCTGAATTACAAACAATATAAAGCAGCTGCAAGTTTAAAAGCATGCTTTGTAATTTTAGACCAAAAGAAGTAAAATCACTGGTGCCAGATGCCGATACTATAACCCAAATCTTTTATAAGTCAGAGGCAGAGAAAGTAGAAGTCCTCTGCAGACCTCCTTGTCTAACTGTGACCCCAAACCTCTTGTCCTGAGGCAGAGGCAGAGAAGGCAGTTCTCTGCAGAGATCTTTACCTGAATCTCCTGTCCAAAGACTGAGACTGAAGCCCTCACTCCTAAGGGAAAGAAATGGTTTGAAAACCAACCTAAATAAAATCTAGACCTCAACTAAATATAAAAGGAAGGTCTGGATCTAGGAGCACTCACCTTTTTGCATCCAGTCAAACCTCTGGAGTTAGAGGAACATGTTAGGTTCATGCTGATACTGAGTGCTGAGCCTGAGAGGGAACACCAGGTGGTAAGGAGGAGGTCACTGTGAGTCCTGTCCATTTTCTCCAGATAATGTTGACAGAAAGGAAAATGCTGAGGCAAAATTAATGTAAGTTGAGAGTCTCTTTGAGCCAACTTCAAGAACTGTAACCCAGGAAGATAGATTCAAGCTGCCCTTAATATATGCTCTGATTTTACAGCAGTTACAAGTGGGTTTTTGAAGGAAAAAAAGAAGAGGCAGTTTCTAAGTTGTTTACCAGGAATTTGAAACTGGCACATTTTTCCCACAAAACTAATATTTATGTTGTTTTTTAAAAATAAAATACATAGAAATTGACCCTCCCTGGTCTTAAAACTTGAAACTTATATTTGTCCCATGAGTTTCTTTTTCAGGAAAACCAAACCTCAAGCAAGGAACTGCAATTCATCATATCATCACATCCAAACAATGAGATGCCAGACACCTCATCCATCATGAATATTTCCTTACCCCTCCTTAATTCCTGTTTGCCTCCCTTCCGCACTATATAAACCCCCCAATTTTAATCAGTTGGGAAGATGGATTTGAGACTTTCTCTCTCATTCTCTACAGCTATAGCACACAATTAAAGCCTTCTTCCCTGGCAATACTTATCTCAGTGATTGGCATTCTGTGCAGTGAGCAGCAGGTTTCGTCTAGACCAAACCCCTGGCATTTTGGTAATAAATGTACATTAAAGTAACATAAGCTATTGATTGGCTATACATTCTCCTTTGCATCAAAAATCTCAGGAACATGAAAATAACTGGTGAGTTTGCTAGTCAGGAAACTACAGGGAAGAAAAGAAGAACAAAATGTCTTTAAACAATTGCCCCTGGGCATGGGTGCTGGGTGCATGACTGAAGTCTCATACTCATGTCTTTCTATGCCTGATAAATTTTGCATACCTTACAGTTCAGACTGCTCTGAGCTGTTCTCTTTTTTCTCTGTCACATAGCTACCAAATGCCAGAGGCTTACTTTGAATACGGACAATATAATTCTAGAACTTATGTTCTTAACCACTTCCTTGTGTTTCATGGGGTAGAGAAAAGACAGATTAAGTGCTTAAGTGCTACAGCTTAAATTCAATTTAATTTTAGGCTTCCAGCTTTCAATTTAGTTTTTCAGATTCACATGTGCTGCAAATCACTTTCTTCATCCTATCCAACTCTGGCCAAGAAAAAGCTCATGTGTCCATTAGCCCTGATGTTGACATCCCTCTCAGCATTTTAGACTAAATGTGTCTACTCTAAATTCACCTACTCTAAATTCAATCTCATATGTTCCCTCTGGGGCCCAGGAATATGCTGCTAGACAACTCTTAGAATGATAATAAATTATTAGAGCAAAGGGACAATGATTATCCCATGTAGAACTAGCATGTTAACTCAGAATGGGAGACATAAAAAGAAGCACTCCACAAATAAGGTGGAAGAAATGGGCCCTAACATTTAGCTCCCAACTCAAGAGATTCTAATAACTTGAGTATATAAAAGTCAGGCCCAAATGATTGCTGAGCCATTGGAGAAAAGGAGAGGAGAAACAGGTTTCTTCAACATTGTTCAGAATATGCAAGACAAGAAATTAAGCATTACCCAAGTCATGAAGAGCAAGAATAAGGATGGGAAGCCCAGGGTCTCAAAGGTGCCACTGCCACTCTATCCCTCAACCCAGCCATGAGCAAGGAAGGTGGGATGAAATGCTCACTCCTCACTTCCATTTAAGAGAACATTGATACATCAGTCAGAGGTCCAGCAAAAGATACATGATATATTGAAATGGAGTAATGAGGAGAACTCAACAAGGGAACCACCGGCAATGTACTAGGTAGCCTTCCCAGATCCACTGGTATGTCCCTGGACTGGTCTTCTGTGAGCAGCTTCTCAGGGCCCCAGCACTCAAGGCCGTGCAAGCACTTTGCTAGGCAGTATAGCACAAGGAGAAAAGCACAGGATTGAAGGTAGAGTGGTAGATTCTAGACCCAGTCAGAAGCTGTGTGATTTTGGACAAGTCTCAAGATCAATTATCTTCCTACTTAACACCTCTTGAACAGGAAGCCTTTAAGTGCCACTGTTTCTATTAATCTTCTAGACAGCCCACCCTTCTCCATATCACTGTCCTGCCCGAGCTCAGGTCCCATAATCTCTCCTAAACCCAGAAGTCCTTTATGTGGTCTCTGTATCTCTGCCTGGCACTTCCATCCACCTTCCACACTGCCACCAGAATGATTTATCTAAAATATAAAACTGACCATGATGCTTCAGAAATTGACCAGTGACACCCAATTATTTACAAAACCCAGGCTCCTTGATGAGCATATGAGGCCTGTCATGACTTGGCCTGTAGTTTTCTCCCCAGCTTTAGCAGTAACCACTCCTCTCCTTGCAATTTATGCTTCATTGACTTAAATCACTTGTGACTTCCAGAATACACATTGCTGTTTTTTATATTTTTGCTCCTGTATATTCCATTTTCTCCCCTAAAATGGTTTTCGTCTCTACTCTAACACCCAGGACCCATCCTGGGGGTGACAGGTGGTGGGAAAAGGGAAGGTTATTAGCCCAGGCCTCACCCTCACAAAGGGCTGTGAATATAGCCCTTCAATTTATCTACAAATAAAGTTAAATGTAGAGTCACAAAGATGCAGACAGTAATGGGAAATGAAGACATGCTCCATATAACTTTAAACTCAGTCCCATAATTAAATCAATCTACCGATAATGCATTATAAAGAAATTTTACAAAATAAATCCTTTATTTTGTAAATTACACAATTTTTGTAACCCTGATTACACACCTTTTTTACTTTAAAATTTTTTACCATACCAGAAGACTAAAAAAAAAAAAAAAATTAAATTTTAAAAAAGGCAGTGACCCTCTCTTTGCCTCTAAAACCTGCTGCTGACTTCTTCCCTAACTTAACTCCATAAACTTCCTGCTCCCTGGCATTATGTCTGTACCTACAGGACATTTCTCATGCCCATGGCACATTTCATTGAAATTATTTGTTCTGTTTTCCCTGCTGGACTGTGAGCTGCTTGAGAGCAGGGTTTTCAAGGCACCAAGCAAACAAATTTGGATTGATTCCATATATAATAGTTATAATAATAATATACAATACTAATGGAAACATTTCAAAAGTATCCAGCATCACTCATTGCCTTTATATACATTTTAATGGACTAATCCCTCCAAGAATCCTATGAGATACGAAACTAAGACTTACAGAGGTCACTGGCAATAAATGGCAAAGCCAGAATTCAGACCTAGGCAATCTGGCTTCACAGCAAGTGTGCTCAGATTGTATACTAGTAGTTCTAAAACTTTAATGTGCATCAGAATTACCTGGAGGGCTTACTATTAAAATAAAAATGGTTGGGCTCCATTCATAGTTTCTAAATCAATAGATTTATAATATACCCTGACGTTACTAAAAATAATGAACCAAAATATTAAAAGTTATTTCATGAAATTATTTGATAAAGATTTAATCTTATTAAATAGATAACCATGTATCAGGGAAAAAACGTTCACACTTTTTAAAAGCAATCAATCTGGGATGCAGGAAAAATAGTAGTAAGAGGAAAGTTTATGCAATCAATACCCACTTCAAAAAATTACAAAGATCCCAAACTATTAGTCTGTTATCACACTGCTGATAAAGACATACCCAAGACTGGGCAATTTACAAAGGAAAGAGGTTTATTGGGTTTACAGTTCCACCTAGATGTGGAGACCCCACAATCACGGTGGAAGGCAAGGAGGAGCAAGTCATGTCTTACATGAATGGTGGCAGGCAGAGAGAGCTTGTGTAGGGAAACTCCCATTTTTGAAACCATCAGCTCTTGTGTAACTTATTCACTATCATGAGAACAGCACGGAAAAGACCAGCCCCCATGAGTCAATTACCTCCAACCAGGTCCCTTTCACAACATGTGGGAATTCAAGATGTTAGATCACTAATGATCTAACATCACATTTAGAAGAAATAGAAAAACAACAAACTAACTGTATTAGTCTGTTCTCACACTGCTATAAAGAACTACCTGAGACTGGGTAATTTATAAAGAAAAGAGGCACTTAATTGACTCACAGTTCCACTGGCCATACAGGAGAAATGGCTTAGGGAGGCCTCAGGAAACTTACAATCATGGCAGACGGGCAAAGGAGAAGCAAACATATCTTCACATGGTGGCAAGAGAGGGAGAGTGAAGGGGGAAATGCTACACACTTTTAAACAACCAGATCACATGAGAACACACTCACTGTCACAGGAACAGCTATGGGGATATCTGCCCCCATGATCCAATTGCCTCCCACCAGGTCCCTCCCGCAATGGTGAGAATTAGTTTGAGTGCGATTTGGGTGGGGACACAGAGCCAAACCATATTCACTAACCCCCAAAGCTAGTAGAATAAAATAACTAAAATCAGAGGAGAACTGAATAAAACTGAGACCCCCAAATCCATAAAATAATCAACAAAACAAAAAATTGGTTTTTCAAAAGGATAAACAAGAGTGATAGACCACTAGCTAGATAAACAAAGAAAAAAAGAGAGAAGATCCAAATAAGCATAATCAGAAATGACAAAGATGACATTACAACCAATACCACGGAAATACAAAAGATTCTCAGAGAATATTATGAACACCTCCCTGCACCCAAACTAGAAAATAGATAAATTCCGGGAAACACAAAACCTCACAAGATTAAATCAGTAAGAAATTGAAACCCTGAACAGACCAATATTTAGTTACAAAATTGAATCAGTAATTTAAAAAACCCTACCAGCTAAAAAGGTCCTAGACCAGATGGATTCACAACCGAATTCTACCAGACATACAAAGAACAGCTGGCACCAATCCTACTGCAACTATTCCAAAAAATTAGGGAAGAAGAACTCCTCCCTAACTCATTTTATGAAGCCAGCATCACTCAGATACCAAAACCTGGCAGAGACACAATGAAAAAAGAAAACTTCAGGCAAATATCCCTTATGAACATAGATGCAAAACTCCTCAACAAAATACTAGAAATCAAATTCAGCAGCACATCAAAAAGCTTATCCACCATGATCAAGTAGGCTTCATTCCTGGGATGCAAGTTTGGTTCAACACATGCAAATCAATAAATGTGATTTCACCACATAAACAGAATTAAAAACAAAAGTCATATGATCATCTCTATAGATGCAGAAAATCCCTTCAATAAAACCCACATCCCTTTAAGTTAAAAATCCTTAACAAACTAGGAGTTGAAGGAGCATGCCTCAAAATAATAAGAGACATCTATGACAAACGCATAGCAAACATACTGAAAAAGAAGAATCAGGAAGCATTTCCCTTGGGAACTGGAACAAGACAAGGATGTCCACTTTTACCACTTCTATTCAACATAGTACTGGAAGTCCTAGGCAAAGCAAACAGGCAAGAGAAAGAACTAAAAGGCATGCAAAGAGGAAGAGAGGAAGTCAAACTCTCTCTCTTCAGACTATGTAATTCGATACCTAGAAAACCCAGTAGACATCACCAAAAGCCTCCTGGAACTGATAAATTAGTAACATTTCAGGACACAAAATCAATGTACAAAAATCACTAGCATTTCTATACACCAATAACATTCAAGCTGAGAGCCAAATCAAGAATGCAATCCTATTTACAATAGCCACCAAAAAAATCATCTAGGAATACATCTAACCAAGGAGGTGAACGATCTCTACAAGGAAAATGACAAAACACTGCTGAAAGAAATCACAGATGACACAAACAAATGGAAACACCATGATCATGGACTGGAAAAGTTAGTATCGCTAAAGTGGCTCTACTGGCCAAAGTAATCTTTGGATTCAACACAATTCCTATCAAATTATCAACATTATTTTTCACAGAATGAGGAAAAAAACTATTCTAAATTTCATATGTAACCAAAAAAAGAGCCCAAATTGCCAAAGCAATCCTAACAAAAAGAACAAAGCCACAGGCATCACATTACCCAATTTCAAACTATACTATAAGGCTACAGTAACCAAAACAGCAGAGTACTGTCACAAAAACAAACAGATCAATGGAACAGAACAGAGAACCCAGAAGTAAAGCTGCATATCTACAGCCATCTGATCTTTGACGAAGTCAACAAAAACAAACAATGGAGAAAGGACTCACTATTTAATAAATGGCACTGGGATAGCTAGCTAACCATATGCAGAAGAATGAAACTGGATTCATACCTTTCACCATATATATAAATTAACTCAAGATGAATTAAAGATTTAAATGTAAGACCTCCAACTGTAAGAATCCTAGAAGAAAACCTAGGAAATACCACTCTGTACATTGGCCTTGGGAAAGAATTTATGACTGAGCCCTCAAAAGCAACTGCTACAAAAACAAAAACTGACAAATGGGATCTTATTACACTAAAGAGCTTCTGCATAGCAAAAGAAACTATCAACAGAGTAAAGAGACAACCTATAGAATGGGAGAAAATATTTGCAAACTACGTATCCTACAAAGATTTAGTATCAAGAACCTATAAGGATCTTGTATTAGTTTGTTTTCACACTACTATAAAGAACTACCTGAGACTGGGTAATTTATGAAGAAAAGAGGTTTAATTGACTCAGAGTTCCACAGACTTAACAGAAACCATGACTGGGAGGCCTCAGGAAGCTTACAATTGTTGCAGGACTTTTCCTTAGTTTAGCTAAGGATGGGGTTCTTGTACATCCCACAGCCACAAAAATTTAGGCTTGCAGATGGTTTAAAGGGTGAGTAAAGCAGGGTTTTATTGGGCGAAAAGAGGAGAAAAAGCGGGGAAACAAGGACTCTTGCAAGGCCAGAGTCCCTCTGCTAGAGCGCTTCCCACCCACCTTTCGAATCCCAGGTTCCACACAGGAAGAGGAGGGACCAGGCTCCTCCTCGCTACAAAGGGCGTGAACTTCCTGAGGCTCCACCTCAGAGGGCAGGCTGGTTGGAGTTTCTTCAGGGACCCCCCTCCCACCTGACTGTCTCATTACTCCTTCTATAAGAAGTACATCTAACTGCCAATAGATGAAGGATAAGGACGAAGACCAATCTTAACTGCTTCCTGCTGACACGGGGCAATGTTTTGGGGAAACAGCAGTCAGAGCTCCCTCAGAGTTCTGTCTAAGGGTTCCTGGCAAAAGGGGTTATTGTTGGAGGCTCCGGTTGCATGACCATTTGGAGTCTGATGGCCTGAAGGCAAGAACAGACAAACCGGGTTATTAAAAACATCTATCAAAACAAAACAGCTCAAAAATTCTGAGGCCTTTTACCAGTTTGTACAGGGAAAGGGAGGCCAAAAGCCTGACATGAAAAAAAAATTTACCTTTTTACCAGCATGTTGGGCTTCTGGGTTCCTTTCCCCTAAGCTCAATTCTAAGCCAACCAATTTAAGGTCTGGGAAATTAACTCTTTTCAGTTTGGAGGATGCATCTGAGGGAAGCATCCCATAGTACAGAGACACAATTTCTTATCAGTGAAGAGAGAACCAAGAGGAAGAAAGGAAAAGGAAGGCATTTTTAAAAGAAGTCCCAATGGTTCAGCATGCATTTGAAAGGGGTACAGACTGAAGGAGAATAGCTACCCACCTAGAAAGAGGGGAGCAGGCATACCTGGTTCTCTTCTCTTCCTAGCAGATACCCAGAGTAAGAGAGAGAGGGAAAAGCATCCTCTTTCTGTCTTCCATCCTTGCATCCCTGAGTCCCGGCGACCTTGGCAGACACCACCACGAGTGCCAAAGTGGCTTAAACCCATGAAGCGGCGGGGGCTAGAGAATGGAATTATCCACTCTCACTTATGTCTCTTTCCCACCTACTGTCAGTAGCCCTGGAGTTCCCTAGACCTCATTTATGCCATGGATACTAATGTGGCCTTTATCAATGCAACAGGAAGCTTGGGGTTGGCTTACTCATCAGGAATCAGCCACGCTTACCTGCGCTGTGCCTTTTAACTTCTGTTGCTCTCTGCCTCTGGATCCCTTAGATCCAGTTTTTTGTTTGTTTGTTTGTTTTTTATTCTAGGGTACATGTGTACAACGTAAAGGTTTCTTACATATGTATACATGTGCCATGTTGGTGTGCTGTACCCATTAACTCATCATTTACATTAGGTGTATCTCCTAATGCTATCCCTACCCCCTCCCACTACCCCACGACAGGCCCCGGTGTGTGATGTTTCCCTTTCTGTGTCCAGGCATTCTCATTGTTCAATTCCCACCTATAAGTGAGAACGTGTGGTGTTTGGTTTTTTGTCCTTGTGATAGTTTGCTGAAAATGATGGTTTCTCAGCTTCATCCATGTCCCTACAAAGGACATGAACTCATCCTTTTTTATGGCTGCATGGTATTCCATGGTGTATATGTGCCACATTTTCTTAATCCAGTCTATCATTGATGGGCATTTGGGTTGGTTCCAAGTCTTTGCTATTGTGAATAGTGCCACAAGAAACATACGTGTGCATGCATCTTCATAGCAGCATGATTTATAATCCTTTGGGTATAGATCCAGTAATGGGATGGCTGGGTCAAATGGTATTTCTAGTTCTAGATCCTTGAGGAATCGCCACACTGTCTTCCACAATGGTTGAACTAGTTTACAGCCCAACCAACAGTGTAAAAGTGTTCCTATTTCTCCACATCCTCTCCAACACCTGTTGTTTCCTGACTTTTTAGTGATTGCCATTCTAACTGGTATGAAATGGTATCCCACTGTGGTTTTGATTTGCATTTCTCTGATGGCCAGTGATGATGAGCATTTTTTCATGTGTCTGTTGGCTGCAGAAATGTCTTCTTTTGAGAAGTGTCTGTTCATATCCTTCACCCACTTGTTAATGGGGTTGTTTGTTTTTTTCTTGTAAATTTGTTTGAGTTCTTTGTAGATTCTGGATATTAGCCTTTTGTCATATGAGTAGATTGCAGAAATTTTCTCCCATTCTGTAGGTTGCCTGTTCACTCTGATGGTAGTTTCTTTTGCTGTGCAGAAGCTCTTTAGTTTAATTAGATCCCATTTGTCAATTTTGGCTTTTGTTGCCATTGCTTTTGGTGTTTTAGACACAAAGTCCTTGCCCCTGCCTATGTCCTGAATGCTATTGCCTAGGTTTTCTTCTACAGTTTTTATGGTTTCAGGTCTAACATTTAAGTCTTTAATCCCTCTTGAATTAATTTTTGTATAAGGTGTAAGGAAGGGATCTAGTTTCAGCTTTCTACATATGGCTAGCCAGTCTTCCCAGCACCATTTATTAAATAGGGAATCCTTTCCCCATTGCTTTTGTCAGGTTTGTCAAAGATCAGATGGTTGTAGATGTGTGGTACTATTTCTGAGGGCTCTGTTCTGTTCCATTGGTCTATATCTCTGTTTTGGTACCAGTACCATGCTGTTTTGGTTACTGTAGCCTTGTAGTATAGTTTGAAGTCAGGTAGCGTGATGCCTCCAGCTTTGTTCTTCTGGCTTAGGATTGTCTTGGCAATGCAGGCTCTTTTTTGGTTCCATATGAACTTTAAAGTAGATGGAGGAACATCTACCAAGCAAATGGAAAACAAAAAAAGGCAGGGGGTGCAATCCTAGTCTCTGATAAAACAAACTTTAAACCAACAAAGATCAAAAGAGACAAAGAAGGCCGTTACATAATGGTAAAGGGATCAATTCAACAAGAAGACCTAACTATCCTAAATATATATGCACCCAATACGGGAGAACCCAGATTCATAAAGCAAGTCCTTAGAGACCTACAAAGAGACTTAGACTCCCACACAATAATAATGGGAGGCTTTAACACCCCACTGTCAACATTAGACAGATCAATGAGACAGAAAGTTAACAAGGATATCCAGGAATTGAACTCAGCTCTGCACCAAGCAGACCTAATAGACATCTACAGAACTCTCCACCCCAAATCAACAGAATATACATTCTTCTCAGCACCACATCACACTTATTCTAAAATTGACCACATAGTTGGAAGTAAAGCACTCCTCAGCAAATGTAAAAGAACAGAAATTATAACAAACTGTCTCTCAGACCACAGTGCAGTCAAACTAGAACTCAGGATTAAGAAACTCACTCAAAACCGCTCAACTACATGGAAACTGAACAACCTGCTCCTGAATGACTACTGGGTACATAACGAAATGAAGGCAGAAATAAAGATGTTCTTTGAAACCAATGAGAACAAAGACACAACATACCAGAATCTCTGGGACACATTTAAAGCAGTGTGTAGAGGGAAATTTATAGCAATAAAAGCCCACAAGAGAAAGCAGGAAAGATCTAAAATTGACAACCTAACATCACAATTAAAAGAACTAGAGAAGCAAGAGCAAACACATTCAAAAGCTAGCAGAAGGCAAGAAATAACTAAGATCAGAGCAGAACTGAAGGAGATAGAGACACAAAAAACCCTTCAAAAAAAATCAATGAATTCAGGACCTGGTTTTTTGAAAGGATCAACAAAATTGACAGACCGCTAGCAAGACTAATAAAGAAGAAAAGAGAAGAATCAAATAGACACAATAAAAAATGATAAAGGGGATATCACCACTGATCCCACAGCAATACAAACTACCATCAGAGAATATTATAAACACTTCTATGCAAATAAACTAGAAAATCTAGAAGAAATGAAAAAATTCCTGGACACATACACCCTCCCAAGACTAAACCAGGAAGAAGCTGAATCCCTGAATAGACCAATAACAGGCTCTGAAATTGAGGCAATAATTAATAGCCTACCAACCATAAAAAGTCCAGTACCAGACGGATTTACAACCGAATTCTACCAGAGGTACAAGGAGGAGCTGGTACCATTCCTTCTGAAACTATTCCAATCAATAGAAAAAGAGGGAATCCTCCCTAACTCATTTTATGAGGCCAGCATCATCCTGATACCAAAACCTGGCAGAGACACAACAAAAAAAGAGAATTTTAGACCAACATCCCTCCCTGATGAACATCGATGCAAAAATCCTCAATAAAATACAGGCAAACCGAATCCAGCAGCATATCAAAAAGCTTATCCACCATGAACAAATGGGCTTCATCCCTGGGATGCAAGGCTGGTTCAACATACACAAATCAATAAATGTAATCCAGCATATAAACAGAAACAAAGACAAAAACCACGATTATCTCAATAGATGTAGAAAAGGCCTCTGACAAAATTCAACAGCCCTTCATGCTAAAAACTCTCAATATATTAGGTATTGATGGGACGTATCTCAAAATAATAAGAGCTATTTATGACAAACCCACAGCCAATATCATACTGAATGGGCAAAAACTGGAAGCATTTCCTTTGAAAACTGGCATAAGACAGGGATGCCCTCTCTCACCACTCCTATTCAACATAGTGTTGGAAGTTCTGGCCAGGGCAATCAGGCAGGAGAAAGAAATAAAGGGTATTTAATTAGGAAAAGAGGAAGTCAAACTGTCCCTGTTTGCAGATGACATGATTGTATATTTAGAAAACCCCATTGTCTCAGCCCAAAATCTCCTTAAGCTGATAGGCAACTTCAGCAAAGTCTCAGGATACAAAATCAATGTGCAAAAATCACAAGTATTCTTATACACCAATAACAGACAGAGAGTCAAATCATGAGTGAACTCCCATTCACAATTACTACAAAGAGAATAAAATACCTAGGAATACAACTTACAAGGGATGTGAAGGACCTCTTCAAGAACTACAAACCACTGCTCTACGAAATAAGAGAGGACACAAACAAATGGAAGAACATTCCATGCTCATGGATAGGAAGATCAATATCGTGAAAATGGCCATACTGCCCAAGGTAATTTATAGATTCAATGCCATCCCCATCAAGCTACCAATGACTTTCTTCACAGAATTAGATCCAGTTTTCTTTCTAGGGCTTTGACCCGAAGCTTAGAATTGAATCTGAGACAAAAATGTATCTCAGGGGGGTTGCATGGACTCCTTATCACAAGCCAAATGCTAAGGTGAAGCTGTGGAATTGAGTCCTCTTCCAACAAGGGAGAGGAAAGGATGTCTTGTGACACACCCAGATAACTTGTAGCTATAGTTATGCTTGCTAGAATTTGGGTACATGATGCCTGACTTTTGTTAGTTCCCTGGGTCTTACTTTCCCAAAAGGGAACCTCTGAGTATTGGGCATCCTGTTTATTCCCACAGCCTTGCAGGATTTGCAGGATAATTGCTCAGAACTAGAATATTGATCCAGATTTTTACATTACCCATCCCTTTTGTTCTTTCTGAACAGCAGCCAGAGATTGCTGATTGGTTCACAGGAACAAGTAGGGTTAATCTAAAATGTAGGTGAAAACTTTAAAACAACTAGTGAGTTTAGAATTTAATGATAAATATGTGATAAGTTTTGAAACATGATTTCTCCCTCTCCAGTCCTCATGTTTGTTATAAAAAAAATTATAATAGCACTGAGTGGTTTGCAAAATAGACTTTAGTCTTGTACTTGGCCTGATTATTTGCATAAAGTGCAGCAAGAATAACTATTTCTACATAAGCCTTTTGGATTGGCTTTGATGGAAGTTTATTCCACAAAAAATCTTACAGAAGACCTTTTAAAGTTGAGCCCAACTATGGGTTTGTATCCTCAAACACCTGTGAGTTGGGTGATCCTTTCCTCTTAAGGTCCCAAGATAAACTTGGAGCTCCTGGACCTGTTAGAAAGTAACATTCTTTACTGACCACAGGTCAGGAACAATGTACAGGGACTGTGTAGACAAGGATATGAGTCCAGTTTTTCCATGGGGCTTTTATTGGCTCTGCAAGTCAAGCTTGACCCCTTAAAGGGAAACATACCCTTCCAGTCAAAGCCTTGGTAAAATAACTACTTTCTGTAATTGTACACTGTTGCAAAAGAAAAATGGATTTTTATTGCACTGATGCAAACAACTATATTGCCATAAGAATACCCACAGATAGTTTCCAAATTCTAGAGGAAACAGGCAGAGACAAACAAACATGCTTCAAATTGTGTTCATAGCAGCATACCTTATAAAATTATTAAAGGTTCTAAATAGTTCAAAATAAGTTTCCTTGACTCTGCAAAACAAAACATGGGTTAACAATATTCCAAGCAAAAGCAAAAATGTTGCTTCAGGTTCCTGAGTTCAGTCCATTTAGTTAACTCTTGTTTTGCTTGATATTTGTGAGCATTTCAGCTCTTCATGAGTCCTATACATTTTCCTGTATTCCAATGTCATAATATCCAAAGTTATCAGAAGACTGTATTTGAGAGCACCTGTCAAAGTCCTACAGCTTATTATAAACTATCTTTTGAAAATGATTAAAAGAAGACAACAACTGTCTGTGAATAGCAAAATGTCCAGAGTAGTTACAGTCAGAAACACAAATGACAAAGAAGTTTGGTTATCTCTGTGATGTACGATAACGTAACAACCTTAATTATAATTGATAGGATATACTCAGACATTAGAATTTTAGAAATCCCACACAATTTTAGAACATATGTTAGCATTATTTACCAAGATATAACCTAAAGCAGATTGAACATCATTTTGGCAATCCCATGTACCTAAACATGTCAAATAATCCTGTTTACCGCTCTTTTCTGGACACTTCAGGGGCCCTCTGAAGTATTCAAAAAGCCAGGTGCCAGGGAAGACGATTTTGAAACTGAAGTTCGATTTAGGGAAACCTGTTAAATATGTTTAAAGCACTTAAATAGAGTTCCAGATTACCAGAAACTATTTATTTTGCCAAAATGACACAGAAGTTTTAAGGAAGCAAAAAAACCTTTTATAATCCTTTACAAATTTTGCCAAAGAGCAGATTAGCACCTTAGGAAAACCATGTTATGCTTTTATTTCAATGCTCAATTTACAGAAAAACCATATAATACCGGTTTTTGAATTTAGTCTATATGTTCACACAGAGAACCTCTTCTGCAAGATTAATTTCCACAATTCTTCCACTACTTATTTGAACCTTCAGCTTTTTCCTAATTTAACTCAAAGCAATCATTTAACCCTAGGCAAGAGTTTACATTTCCATGCCTTCTTATATAAAACATTTTACAAATAAATGCATTTTACTTTTCTTACACAGCTTGCATGTAAATCTATTTCTAGTAGTTTCAATTAACTTCTAGCAATTTTTAATTTTAACGTAAAAATTGGTTAGTTGTATTAATTGTGTGCTAAGTGTAGCCAAGGTTTGCCTTCTTTATTAAGGGTATGGTTAGGTCCCTACGTCCCCAGGCCTTACCAATTGTGAAACCGTCAAGTCAAATAGTTCTCAAAACCCAAAAAGCAGTTCATAACCTCAAAACTCTTAGCAAACCTTGCATGTGACCTGCATTTTACCAATAGTCTTTAGGGCTGTTTTTATTTCTCAAAAATTAAAGTTACATGAACTGAAAGGCTCCACAGCTTTTAACTTCCCTTTAAAAAGGGAAGCGCTTGTCTTTGGGCCAAATTAATCAGAGCTCTTTTTAGACATTACACGCAACACACACACACACAGGAGAAAGCCCAGTCGCTAGGTAGGGTTCTTTAAGAGACAGGGTTAAGAAAACATGCAGATTGGCTGGGCGCGGTGGCTCCCGCCTGTAATCCCAGCACTTTGGGAGGCCGGGGCAGGCGGATCAGCTGAGGTTGGGACTTCGCAACCAGCCTAACCAACATGGAGAAACCCCGTCTCTACAAAAATACAAAATTAGCCAGGCCTGGTGGTGCATGCCTGTAATCCCAGCTACTCGGGAGGCTGAGGCAGGAGAATCGCTTGAACCCAGGAGGCGGAGGTTGTGGTGAGCCAAGAACACGCCATTGCACTCCAGCCTGGGCAACAAAGAAAAAAAAAAAAAAGAAAGAAAGAAAAAAAAAAACATGCAGATAAGGAACCAGAGAGGGCTCATCCCCTAAGGCAGGGTTGCTAAACAAAGCCTTGCCAAGCTGTTACTGGCCATGCCCCCAGGATTTAAAGCAAGGTGGAGGCTTGTAGCACAAACCATATAGACATGCAAAACACACCAGATTGGCCACAGCCTAAGACTAGCCCCACAAATCCTTTTTCATAATTAAAGGTTTACAGAAAATTTAAACAGTGATAGTTTGGGGGCCTGGCCTAGTAAATGGGGGGAAAAAACTGTAAAGGTTAACTGTTGACAGGGTGGAGAAGGGGAAAGAAAAGGAACAGTTTTAAAGTGCCTGGGGAAGAATCTCTTATTCTTAGGCAAGTGGTTCCTCCACCAGGAGAAAAGCTCAATTACTGTCAGATGGAGTAAAACCCCTTGACTGGGAAAGGAGAACGCTCCAGCAGTTCTGTGGGGTGGGGACTGCCAACCAGCTATGCCGGACCCTTGGTCCATGCGTCTCAGCCCCTGGAGGTAAGGGAGAGGTAAGGAGATAAGGGAGAAGGGAGCTTCTGTTCCCCAGTCGGTCCCAAAAAAGGAAGGAGGACATGAAAAGGCCCAGGAGTGAAGAGGGGTGGGGTGGGGACATGGTTTCCCCCACCTTCAGAAGTTTGAGGATGAAAAGGCTCAGAAGCAACAGTGAGAGGTTTTGAGTTACCATTTCACTCACCACTTCCGGAGCCCCCAGGGTGTGTGCCAAAAATGTTGCGGAACTTTTCCTTATTTCAGCTAAAGATGGGGTTCTTGTCCTTCCCACAGCCACAAAAATTTAGGCTCACAGACGACTCAAAGGGAAGTAAAGCAGGGTTTTACTGTGTGAAAAGCAAAAAAAAAGGGGGAAATAGGGACTCTTGCAAGGCCAGAGTCCCTCTGCTAGAGCACTTCCTGCCAGGCCATTTGAATCCCAGGTTCCAAACAGGAAGAGGAGGGGCCAGGCTCCTCCCTGCTGCAAAGGGTGTGAACCTCCCGGGGCTCCACCTCAGTGGGCCGGCAGGTTGGAGTTTCTGCAGGGACGCTCACCCACCTGGCTGCCTCACAATCAAGGTGGAAGGCAAAGTTGGGAAGCAAGCACCTTTTTCACATGGTGGCAGGAGAGAGAGAGAGAGACATCTCTAAAAAAAAATTTAAAAATTAGCTGAAAATGATGATGCTCTTCCTATGCCTTCCATCCTATGGTCCTAGTCCTATCCTTTGGATTGTGTTATGGGTTAAGCCAAATATCCCAAAAGTTCATATGTTAAAGTCCTGGCCCCCAGCGCCTCAGAATGTGACCTTATTTGAGAAGAGGATTATTGTAGATGTAACTAATTAAGATGACGTCACCCTGAAGTAGAATGAGCTCAATCCAATGTGTCTGGTGTCCTTATAAAAAGGGGAAAATTGGACACAGACATGCACACAGGGAAAACACCATGTGAACATGAAGGCAGAGATCAAGTGATGCATCTACAAGCCAAGGAACATAAAGATTGCCAATAAACTGCCAGAAGCTAGGGTAGAGGCATGGAATAGATTCTTCCCTCAAAGCCCTCAGAAGGAACCACGCTGATGACACCTTGATCTCAGGCTTCTGGCCTCCAGGACTGACAGACAATATACTCCTGTTGTTTTAAGCCACTCACTTTGCAGTAGTTTGTTAAGGCAGCCCTAGCAAACTAATATAGATTGTTATTAATAATAATAAATGCTCATATTTAAATTCTTACTCAAAGATAAGTAAGAACTCTAGAATGTACTTTTCCTCAGTACAATGCTGTGAGTAGGTACTATTTTTATCCTCATTATATTTTAGTATCCTCATGTGGCAGGCAGAATAATGGGCCGCCAAAGATGTTCTCATCCTAACCCTTGGAACCTGTGACTATTTAGATTACATTGCAAAGGAGAACCAATACTGCAGATAAAATTAAGGCTGGTACTCAGCTGGCCCTGAGATAGAGAGATTATCCTGAATTATCTGTGTGTGTCCCAAAGGAGCACAGGCCAAGCATAAAAAGACTAAAACTTAGATTTGTCCTACTGTGATTTGCCTTTGGTAGAAATGAGGAACTGGAGAGAAAAACTATGTTTCGAAAAGAAAACTATAGCTGGGTGTAGTGGCTGACACCTGTAATCCCAGCATTTTGGGAGGTCAAGGTGGGAGGATCACTTGAGGCCAGAAGTTCAAGACCCAGCCTAAGCAACATAGTGAGACCACCGTCTTTACAAAAATAAAAAAAAGTACTAGCCAGGTGTCCTGGCATGTGCCCGTTGTCTCCAGCTACTCAGGAGGCAGAGGTGGCAGAATCATTTGTGCCCAGGAGGTCAAGACTACAGTGAGCCATGATCACACCATTGCACTCCAGCCTGGGCAATAGAATAAGACCCTGTCTCTGACAAAAAAAAAAAAAAAAAAAAAAAAAAAAAAAAAAAGTCAAAAGAAAACTATAGTATGTAAGAGTTAAAGAAAGAGGAAAGGAACACAAAACACAGCTTGCAGTTGAAGACAGGTTTACTTTAGATCAAACCTGAGAGGTATCCCCGGCCCATTTTGGTCAGAAGCCCTTTCTCTTGCAGACTAGGAGTATATATTGGTTTTAGGGTGAGGGGGCTTATGAATGTTTATGTGTGTGGAAAAGTTTATGGCAGAATCTTTCTGGGAGGAGGGGAGGTTATCTTAGGACAGACATCTTTCCAGCCTGGAACGGGGTTATCTCAGGGCTAGCATCTTCCAGGCCAGAGCAGGGTTTATCTCTGGTCTGGCATGTCTCTGGTCAGGGAGGAGTTTGGAATGTTTCTGGTTGGAGATGTTATTTGTGGTTTATGGTCATGCTGACCTTAGCCATTAGGCTGATGTCCTTTGGATTTAGGTGGTTTTTTATTAAGGTGAACTTTAGAATGAGGGGCTTGTCCAAGATGGCGATGCTCCTGCTCTGTCATAGTACACCTGTAATTAGGTTCTAGCCTTTCCATTGTTTTAAAGTTTTTATTATTTGCCTACAATTTGGACTAAATTCTAAATTTCTTCCTTGCTACAAGTCTCCAAACTAATGTTTTCAAAATTTCCTCCCCTTTTACTGATTTGAAATCACTAGAAATTAAATCTTCTTTTCTTGAAGCCCTGCAAACTGAAGCTAGACAACCTGATATAAACTTCAGGAGAAATCACCGCAGCAACTTATTTATAAATGGCCTTCATGCCTTTTGGTGTATGAACTATTCCAAAAGTTGACTTGAACACCTGATTCAAACTATAATCCAGGGAATATCTGTCAGATTGCCACTATAATCTGAATATGCTTCACAGACTCTGGAGCAGTCTATAAACTAGAAAAGCTAGTTTATAGAAAACTTAGTTTATAGACTACTCCAGACATTAACCTTTGTTTTTATTCTGTTTCCATAGAAATGCCTTTTTATTAAAGATGTTTGCCTGCATTATATATAGAGGCTTAGCCCATCTGCAATGCCATCTCCTGAAATGGGACACAGCTGTTTAACTGAACTGATCTATTCTCAGGACTAAGAGACTGATTCAGGCAGATATGGGACAATATATTTAAATTTGCTCTTTTCTGCTTATCCCAAATTGTTTTTTTCCCCCTCCTTTGCCTATCTCTTGCTACTCGACTACTAATCTGATTTCTCACTTCACAGCCACCAACTCAGCTTTTAATGCATGAAACTTGCAAGGAAGTTCCAGACAGGTGGAATAAAGGAGCACAAGGAACTTTACTCCAAAATATGATCACTTGGTATAATGAGTATTTTGAATTAAAGGCTCTTAGAGATCAATACACACTGTAAGAGACTTTTCCCCTATCTACATAAAGACCAGAAGGACACGCCAAGGAGAACAATAGTTTTTTTTTTTCTTGCCTTCCTTTCTATCTCATTATCTATTGCAGAAAGGATGACCATGAATGTAACCACACCTCAGCAGACCCTTTCACAAGATAATGTCTGTCTCTCAGGTTCATAAAAATTCCAAAGAGAACTAATTTACAAGTGAACCTCTGTTCTCTAATCCATTCATTTTCCTCAGAAAGATTTACTGCCCCTCAACAGAATTCCTCTTTTCCCCCCTCCCATAATGTGTTTTGCCAGGATCCAAGCCCCCATTCTTTCTGTAACCTCAAGATACTATTTAGGCTTCTGAACCCAGTTGAGGGATAGATAACCATTCTGTGATTTGCCCTCATGGTCATGTGAATGAATTTGTATGTCTTTTCTCCAATTTATCTGCTCTTTATGAGTTAATTTTTCTGTGAACCTTCAGAAGATGGAGGGGAAGTTACAGCTGAATGTAATCACTAGAGTCCTTGTAAATTGAAGAGGGAGGCAGAAGATAGTGAACCAGAAAGATAGCAGTGTGAGAAGAACTTGGCCCAACTTTGTTGGCTTTGAAGATAGAGGAATGGGGAAATGAGCCAAGGACTGCAGGTGGCCTCTAGAAGCTGCAAAAAGCAAGGAGATGGATTCTTTCCTAGAGCCTCCAGAAGGAATGCAGCCCTGCTGACACTGAAACAGACCCAGTAGTCACATAGACAGTTTTTCAAAATAAACATAGAAATTGACACTTTTAGTTTTAAATCTTGAAACTTACATTTGTTTTATCTGAGTTCCTTCCTCAAAAAAGGAACCGTAGACCTCTCAAAAAGTATCAAAGAATGAAACTCACCAAGTCACAGCATCCAGACGAGACATTAAGCCCTCATTCATCAAGATTTCTTTCTTACCCCTCCTGAGTTCCTGTTTTCCCCTACACAGTTACATTTCTCCCCTGCTATAAAAATCCCTAATTTTAGTCACTCAGGGAGATGGATTTGACACTGATCTCCCATCTCCTCAGCTGCAGCACCCGATGAAAGCCTTCTTCCTTGGCAATACTCATTGTCTCAGTCATCGGCTTTCTGTGTGGTGAGCAGCAGGACTTACACCAAACCCCTGGTGTTTTAGTAACAGATTTTGGTTTCCTATCCAACAATGCATTGCTTGTGCTCAGCTGCCATGGGCCAGGAGGCCCAGAAGCCCTGCTAAGCAGCTGCCCACCCAATTTTGGCTGGAGGTGAGTTTCTGTTTCTCTCCGGCCCTGCTGCTGCTGCTGGCCCCAGTTGCATTCCTGATTACCCAGGAAGAACTGCCTTTGAGATTTGGCATCCACATCTGGATAGGTGAGAGTTCTTTGTGTGCCCAGGCAGCAGGGTCTATTCCTCTCAATTCGGGAAATTTTTTCAGTAATTTTCATTTGCAGGTTGAACAAGCCCAACTGACATGAGGGAAGCACCCTGGCTGTTTCAGTATAAACATTCTTGGGGTCTTGTTTGTAATCGTGTTGTATGTGTGTGTCCAGGCAAGTGAGTATCTTTTGTGGGTACCAGACAGAGAGATTGGCTCCTCTCAACTGAGAAATTCTGAAGGAATTTCTGTTTGTAGGTTGATCAAGCTCAACCAATGAAGAGATGAAGCACCCTAACTCTTTCAGTTTGGACACTTTTGGGGCTTGTTTGTTGCTGCAGCAGTTGGATTGTGTTTTGGTGATTGTTTTTGTGTGTGTCCATATAGCCATGGGAAATTTGAATTAGATAAACTGATATTATTTTGTAATACTGTTTACCCCCAATATTCTTTGGAATCTGGAGTTTGCTTTTGAATGGGAAAGTGGGATGGAGTTCTGCATACTCAGGCTTTTATGCTGCTGCTCTACAAAAGGAACCTATCACTTTTTGATGCTTTTGGTCACAGTTTTGTCACTAGAATCCTAGCAATTAGATATATGCAAGGAGTAACCTAATCACTTTAATACAATAGTTTGAAGTGCTTCAGGCAATAACTACTGGACACCAAATCACAGTGTTTTAATTTGTGACATGTTAGCATGATAGGACTTTCTGTTGTATAAATATCCTATTAACTAAACCTTGTGCTGTTAAGTTACAGGACTTTGACTCCTGGGATTGAAAAAGGTACTGACCTCTGCTAAATCTTGAGCATTGACATCAGTCGAAGTCTCGTCTTCAGTCCCAGGAGAAGGTGACAATCAAAATAAACTGCTTTAGTGAAATACAGATCCAGATGTTAACACTATTCAACCCCTCTAGGCCCAGGGATTATTGTGGAAGAGGTGGGCACATGAGATTGTAAGGGCAAACTCTGAGGGATAAGATTTATTCAGAATTTTTATATAAATTAAACATTAATATCAAAAGCACACTAATGCAAGGCCAGCATCTGGGCCTGTCTGTTGGAATAACAGGGTTTTCTTGGATCATTGATATGCTATTTAATAGGGTATAGAAAGATTATGGAAATCTTACCTTATGGTCAAACTGATTAACATTAGACAGATTTGCTTATAAGGTTTTATTAACATTTAACATTAGTAATACACCATACAAAGCAAAAATTTGATTTTGTCTTTGGAACAAAATTTTCAGGTGAGAGATAATAAAATATTGTGTTTACCTTTTGAATAAAACTACAGAAGAATGAAAAAAGGGAGGGCAAAAGACAGATTTAGTTGGCTTCATATTGTCTTTATTAGGTCTTATTGTTTTGGAAATTAAGTCATCTTCTCTATTAAAGTATGAATATTCTTGTTTTAGCATTTTGCTAAATGAATGACTATTTTATAGTCACCTATAATCCTATTTTGTGATATCAAGTGTCTTAAACCTTTGATAGGTGGCAGACTTTCCAAGAGCAAAATTTCAAGTTCTAAATTCAGTCTTTTTGACCTCAAAATAACTTTTTCAAATATTAGGTTCACTGAAGTCCAAGAGGGACTTATTAGCCTTATTAGGCTTATTTATTATGTTAGAATTATGCAGGAAGCATTGTCAAAATCTTAGGTGTGTTTAGCTTTTTTTGTGTTACATTTATATAGATGTGTTGTTAATAAGTGTCCAGAATTGTTTGAGATTCCTGAAATTCTGATGTTTTAATATTTCTTGTCAGTAATTATTATGATTATTATGTTAAATTGTTGTATACCATAGAAATAACCAAATTTCTTTATCAATTGTATCTTTAACTATTGCTGTCCTAAGACTTTGTCATCCACAATTGTTGTTTTGCATGGATTCTTCTCAAAAATTGACTTATAATCAGCTACTGTCCCTTGCTTCTTTGGGGTTTCATGAAAAGGACTCCTTCCTTCCTGAAAAGGACTCTTTTCTGATAAATTTGGAGATTTTGCCACTGGATTAGAGAGAAAACTAGGATTCTAATTAAAGGCTGATAGAAACATTTATAAAGATTTCTAACCCAATATGAAGCAGATCAGGAGTTGATTTCATAGTGCATCAGACTGTTCTTGTGCTGCCCTAAAGAAATACCTGAGAATGGGTAATTTATAAAGAAAAGAGGTTTAAATGGCTCATAGTTCTACAAACTGTACAGAAAGCATGGCTGGGGAGGCCTCGGGAAACCTACAATCATGGTGGAAGGCAGAGGGGAAGCAGGCATGTCTTACGTGGCTAGAGCAGGGGGAAGAGAGGGAGTGGGGAGGTTTAAACAACCAAATTTCATGATAACTCACTAATTATCATGAGAACAACACCAAAGGGGAAAATCTTCTCCATGATCCAATTACCAATTACCTCCCATCAGGCCCCACCTCCACTGTTGGGGATTTGACATGAGATTTGGGTGGGAACACAGACCCAAACCATATCATTCTCTACTGGCCCCTCCCAAATCTCATGTTCTTCTTACATTTCAAAATATAATCATGTCTTCCCAACAGTCCTCCAAAGTCTTTTTTAACCTTGTGATGCAACAGAACCCCCAAAGTCTTAACTCATTTCAGCATTAACTCAAAAGTACAAAGTCCAAATTCTCATCAGAGACAAGGCAAGTCCCTTCTGCCAATGAGCCTGTAAAATAAAAAACAAGTTAGTTACTCTCAAGATACAATGGGGGTGTAGGCATTGAGTAAATACTCCTATTCCAAAGGGGAAAAATCAGCCAAAAGAAAGGGGCTATAGGCCCCATGCAAGTCTGAAACCCAGCAGGGCAGTGATTAAATTTTAAATCTCCAAAATAATCTCCCTTGATTCCATGTCTCACATCCTGGCCACAGTGATGCAAGGTGTGGGATCCTAAGGCTTTGGGCACATGGACTGAATGAATGGAGGACTGAAATAACTTTTTAGGGCTTTTTGTTTGTTTGTTTGTTTGAAACATCACTGATGGCTGGGCACAGTGGCTCATGCCTGTAATCCCAGCACTTTGGGAGGCTGAGGCAGGCGAATCACGAGGTCAGGAGATCGAGACCATCCTGGCTAATATGGTGAAACCCCATCTCTACTAAAAATACAAAATATTAGCCAGGCATGATGGCGGGCACCTGTAGTTCCAGCTACTCAGGAGGCTGAGGCAGGAGAATGGAGTGAACCTGGAAGGTGGAGCTTGCAGTGAGCCGAGATAGCGCCACTGCACTCCAGCCTGGGTGACAGAGTGAGACTTGGCCTAAAAAAAAAAAAAAAAAAAAGAAAGAAACATCACTGATTCCTCAGAGTCTGGAGAACTTTTATCCCTTCGAGCTATTTATAGCCTTTAACAATTGAGTAGAGTATACTCTTCTAAACAGAATTTGAGGCATATTTTTCTGTGCCTCATTTCTCCAGAATTTGTAAATTATTTATGAATATTCTTAATTTATGGCAATGTGTTTGTTTGTATAAGTTCAATAAGAATCTGTTTTCTTTTATAATGGGACACAGTTGGAGGAACTGGTTTTCTTCCAGGGCTTTGACTGAAATGTCCTTGTGAGAGGTTCCAACAAAGCTGATTGAGGAAAGCCTATGTGGACACTGATTCTTCCTGCTATGTGTGGGTAATCAGGCCAAGTACATGGGACTGAAGCTTATTTTTCAGGTAGATTGGTGCTGCTGTGATTTGTCTCTGGTGGAAGTGGGGGACTGGAAAGAGAAAGATTGTGTTTCAGAATGAAACTATAGTTTTAGATTAATCTTTGAGCTGCCCACAACACCTCTTCTCAGCATGAAGCAGTCAGAAAGATTGACAACCAGATTCCCCATGACTGAGGAACTGATAAATGGAGAGGGGGAACTGAAACTATCTCAATAGTCCCATAGACTTTTTTGTTACATAAACATAGAAATTGACCCTTCAGTTTGGTCTTAAATCTTGAAACTTACATTTGTTTTTATCTGAGTTCCTTCCTCAGGAAAGGACTTCTAACCCTCTCAAAAAGTATCAAAAACCTGTGGCTCACCAATTTATCCATCCAGACAATGAGATACTAGGCCCCTCATTCATCCTGATTGCTTCCTTACCCCTCCTAAGTTTCTGTTTTCCCATACATAGTTGCATTTCTTCCCTGCTATATAAACCCCTAATTTTAGTCACTCAGGGAGATGGATTTGACACTGATTTCCCATCTCCTTAGCTGCAGCACCAGATGAAAGCCTTCTCCACTGGCAATACTCATTGTCTCAGTCATTGGCTTTCTGTGCAGCAAGCTGCAGGACTTAGCCCAAACCCCTGGTGTTTCGATAACACCTTGATTTTAGCCTAGTGAGACCCACTTTGGAGCTTGACCACCAGAATTGTAAGATAATAAGTTTATGTTGTTTTAAGCCACTAAATATGTAGTAATTTGTTACAGTAGCAATAGGAAATGAATACACTTCATTTTACAGATAAGAGATCTGAAGTTTAAAGAGTTTCCATAATTTGTCCAAGGACATACAGCTAGTAAGTGATGAGAGCCAGTATTGGAACTCAGATGTCTGTAATACAGGGCCCCTATTTCTAACTGCCATGATAATTTGCAAAACAAGTTCTAATCCCTCTTCCACCTGGCAACGTTTTTAGCTTTTGAAAGTAGATATCATGGCTTCCTTCTGTCTTCTCTAGGAAAAGCACAGTTTCTTCAAACCATCCTCAGATGACAGCTTTCTGTCCCCTAACCATCCTGGAAAATAAGACACCCACATTGAAAACAGTGCCAGTATGGCTCCAGCACCATCTTTGTGCATTTCAATCCACCTTCATCCAAAATGAAAATTATAACTCATAAAATTTAAGCAATACTTTTTCAGTTAAAAAAATGAGGTGATAGTTTTCTTGTATTAACAAATTGGCTATGAACTTAATGTTCTTACAAAATGAGTCATCTATGTTGGAACATTAATTATTTGAGCAGCTGAGTCCACATGACTCTAAGCAAAATGTCACTGCTCTGTCCCTGTACAGATCATTTCAAAAAAGTCCTGATGCTTGGCTGTAGTACTAATAGCGCAGGCTTCCTTCTTGCCTTCTCACCCTAACTCTTAGGTCTTGAAGGGTAGAATGCTCCTCAGGAAGAATGCACAGCTGTACAGTCCATCTGGCTACCCTTTTCCCACCCCAAAAAATAAATTTTTACTTGAGACTGAGATTCAATGGGACCATATGCTTTCTATTAGAGGCAGGGTCTTGGTAAGAAAAAGTGGGTGGGAGATTGAGACTTCAGGTTTAAAATAACCCACGTGGCCAATAAGAACTGCTAGTACATCATGACAGGCAAAAAGAGATAGAGTAATGTACTCTGCTGTCACAAAAGTGTTTTGATGTTGGCTCATGAGAGTTAAATGTTCCCCTGAACCTAAAATAAAAGTTGGAAGAAAAAAAATAAAAATAAGCCAATAAAATTGATTAATTTTTTAAAAAAAGAGGTAAGTGTCAAATTTTCTTTTCTTTTCTATTTTTATTTATTTATTTTTTGACACAGGGTCTCACTCTGTCAAAATAAGCAAATAAAATTGATTAATTTAAAAAAAGCGTTAAGTGTCAAATTTTCCTTCTTTTCTCTTTTTATTTATTTATTTATTTATTAAGACAGAGTGAGACTCTGTCACCCAGGCTGGAGTGCAGTAGTTCAATTACAGCTCACTGCAGCCTCAACTTCCCAAGCTCCAGCAATCCTCTCACCTCAGCCTCTCAAAGAGCTGGGACCACAGGCACGTGCCAATGTGGCCGGCTAATTTTTTTTTTTTTTTTGTAATAATGGGGTTTTGCCATATTGCCCAAGATGGTCTTGGACTCCTGAGTTCAAACCATCTTCCCACCTTGGCCTCACAAAGTGCTAGGATTACAGGTGTGAGCCATAATGCCCAGCCAAATTTTCTTTCTTCTATTTTTTTCCTCTTTCTTTCTTTCTTTCTTTTTTCTTTTTTTGAGATAGGCTCCTGCTCTGTCACCCAGGCTGGGGTACAGTGACATGATGATTGCAGCTCACTGCAGCCTTAACCTCCCAGGCTTATGCAATCCTCCCACCTCATCCTCCTGAGTAGCTGGGACTCCAGGTGTGCACCACCACACCCAGTAAATTTAAAACAAATTTTTTTTTTGTAGAGATGGGGTCCTGCTCTGTTGCCCAGGCTGGTCTCAAACTCCTGGGCTCAAGCGATCCTCCTGCCTTAGCCTCCCAAAGTGTTGGAATTACAGGCATGACCCACTGTGCCAGGCCACATGTTAAATTTTCTAAACAAGTTGTTAAACACAGCCATTATTAAAAATTAAATGATATAAGCTTATAACTTAATAAATTATATCTAAACCAAAGGTAATAAATACCCAAACTCATCACTTCCTTATATTTTTACCATATTTGACTGTTACTTCTGCTCTTTAGGTTATTTTTGTTGACTGATTTTGCATGGTTGAAATACTATATAATGGTGTGCTATTGCACATTACTTTCCAACTCCAAGTTCAGTAATGTCACACTGATAGCTTGCAATCAGCTACAATGGGAGTACTGATACCACAGAAATCAGCAATGATGTAAATGAGGGCATCCATCACACTCTTGGCTGGTTGTCAAGCATTTACCAACACATCAATTCCCAGCAGTAAACCTTCCTACTCCCACCCCCAAACACACACAAACACTGTACCCCACTCATCCCAATCAAAGAGTGAAGTCATCAGTCTTATCATTTCATCCCATAATTATAAAGGACAAAGTAAACATTGCTGTAGTGGATTTTGGGATGGGGGGTTGGAAGATTTCCTTCACACATTTACAGTTCATATGTTTCCTCTTTAAATTTCAGAGTCAATTTGAATTTTATAACCCAGAGTTGGCATTTAAGATATGCTGTCTCAGAAAGCAAAATTTTAGGAACTAATGGGGATATTGCAGTGATTTATGGTGTCTCTTGATCTCTGATGAATGAAACAACATGGGAAACCTTCTGAGGCATCCCTCTTCCTAAACTACCTTTTATGTTCATGATACTGGAACTCATTAATTAGATGTACTGACAAAAACCACGTGATTATCTCAATAGATGCAGAAAGGCCTTCGATAAAATTCAACATCCCTTCATGTTAAAAACTCTCAATAAACTAGGTATTAATGGAACATATCTCAAAATAATAAGAGCTATTTATGACAAACTCATAGCTAATATCGTACTGAATGGGCAAAAGATGGAAGCATTTGCCTAAAAAACCAGCAAAAGACAAGGATGCCCTCTCTCACAACTCCTATTCAACATAGTATCAGAAGTTCTGTCCAGGGCAATCAGGCAAGAGAAAAAAATAAAGGGTATTCAAATAGGAAGAGAGGATGTCAAATTGTCTCTGTTTGCAGATGACATGATTCTATATTTAGAAAACCCCGCCATCTCAGCCCAAAATTCCTTAAGCTGATAAGCAACTTTAGCAAAGTCTCAGCATACAAAATCAATGTGCAAAAATCACAAGCATCCCTATACACCAAATAATAGACAAGCAGAGAGCCAAATCATGAGTGAACTCCCATTCACAATTGCTACTAAGAGAATAAAATACCTAGGAATACAACTTACAAGGGATGTAAAGGACCTCTTCAAGGAGAACTACAAACCACTGCTCAAGGAAATAAGAGAGGACACAAACAAATGGAAAAACATTCCATGCTCATGGGTAGGAAGAATCAATATTGTGAAAATGGCCATACTGCCCAAGGTAATTTATAGATTCAATGCTATTCCCATCAAGCTACCATTGACTTTCTTCACAGGATTGGAAAAAAACTACTTCAAATTTCATATGGAAACACAAAAGAGCCCATATAGCCAAGACAATCCTAAGCAAAAAGAACAAAGATGGAGGCATCACACTACCCAACTTCAAACAATGCTATGAGGCTACAGTAACCAAAACAGCATGGTACTGGTGCCAAAACAGAGATATAGATCAATGGAACAGAAAAGAGACCTCAGAAATAACACCACATGTCTACAACCATCTGATCTTCAACAAACCTGACAAAAACAAGAAATGGGGAAAGGATTCCCTAATTAATAAATAGTGCTGAGAAAACTGGCCAGCCATATGCAGAAAACTGAAACCGGACCTCTTCCTTACACCTTATACAAAAATTAACTCAAGATAAATTAAAGAGCTAAATGTAAAACCCAAAACCATAAAAACCCTGGAAGAAAACCTAGACAATAACATTCAGGACATAGGCATGGGCAAAGACTTCATGACTAAAACATCAAAAGCAATGGCAACAAAAGCCAACATTGACAAATGGGATCTAATCGAACTAAAGAACTTTTGCACAGCAAAAGAAACTATCATCAGAGTGAACAGGCAACCTACAGAATGGGAAAAAAATTTTGCAGTCTACCCATCTGACAAATGTCTAATATCCAGAATCTACAAGGAGCTTAAACAAATTTTCAATAAGAAAACAAACAACTGCATCAAAAAGTGGGCAAAGGATAAGAACAGACACTTCTCAAAAGAAGACATTTATATGGCCAACAAACATATGAAAAAAAACTCAACATCACTGATCATTAGAGAAATGCAAGTCAAAACCTCAATGAGATACCATCTAACACCAGTTGGAATGGCGATTATTAAAAAGTCAGGAAACAATAGATGCTGGTGAGGCTGTGGAGAAATAGAAACACTTTTACACTGTTGGTGGGGGTGTAAATTAGTTCAGTCATTGTGGAAGACAGTGTGGCATTCCTCAAGCATCTAGAACCAGAAATATCATTTGACCCAGCAATCCCATTACTGGGTATATACCCAGAGGATTACAAATCATTCTAATATAAAGACACATGCACACATATGTTTACTGCAGCACTATTTGCAATAGCAAAGATTTGTAACTAACCCAAATGTCCATCAATGATAAACTGGTTAAATAAAATGTGGCACATATATACCATGGAATACTATGCAGCCATAAAAAAGAATGAGTTCACGTCTTTGCAGGGACATGGATAAAGCTGGAAGCCATCATTCTCAGCAAACTAACACTGGAACAGAAAACCAAACACTGCTTGTTCTCCCTCATATATGGAAGTTGAACAATGAAAACACATGGACACAGGGAGGGGAACAACCCACACTGGGGCCTCTCAGGGGGTGCCAGGCAAGGGGAGGGAGAGCATTAGGACAAATATCTAATGCATGTGGAGCTTAAAACCTAGATGATGAGTTGACAGGTGCAGCAAACCACCATGGCACATGTATACCTATGTTATAAATCTGCACATTCTGCACATGTATCCCGGAACTTAAAGTAAAATAAAAAAAATTAAAATAAAAATAAATATATACTGAGGTTTCTCCTAGACTCCCAATTTCATTAACCTTATGACTTAACCAAGATTCTCCTGTTCAGCAATGCCATCCAAAATGCTTTTGAGAAGACGTAGATTTGTTCCTTTATTTAGGGAAAGTGGCAGAAAAGAAAATCTGTTCAGTTATCAGGGTCAAAGTATTTTTCATCTTTCGTCCTTTTCTTTCTTTTTTTTTTTTTTTTTTTTGAGATGGAGTCTCGCTCTGTTGCCCAGGCTGGAGTGCAGTGGCCCGATCTCTGCTCACTGCAACCTCTGCCTCCTGGGTTCGTGCCATTCTCCTGCCTCAGCCTCCCGAGTACCTGGGACTACAGGCGCCCCTCACCACGCCCGGCTAATTTTTTGTATTTTTAGTAGAAACGGAATTTCACCGTGTTAGCCAGGATGGTCTCGATCTCCTGACCTCGTGATCCGCCCTCCTCGGCCTCTCAAAATGCTGGGATTACAGGCGTGAGCCACTGCGCCCAGCCCACCTTTCATCATTAAAATAAAACATCAATGAACCGAGGTCCTCTACTCAGAGTTAATTCCCCTCAGGAAAAATTCCTCTAAGACAGCTAAAGAGGGGCAAATGTGGAGTTGAATTCCTCCCTCAGCTTGCTGGTGGTAATAGAGGAGAACAGGAGTCAAAGGATAGGAGGGAAGAAAAAAAAATGATCTCTGCCAATCACATCGATGGAAACCAGTGATGATTTATAAATCAGAGCTTTAATTCAGAGACAATTAGCCTGGAATTTGAAGGCTGCCTGGGGGTCCAAGTAAGGAAGAAATGGAGAATTCGGATTTTTTTTTTTTTTTGAGACTGAGTCTTGCTCTATTACCCAGGCTGCAGTACAGTGGCACAATCTCTGCTCACTGCAACCTCTGCCTCCCAGATCAAGAGATTATCTCATCTCAGCCTCCCAAGTAGCTGGGACTACAGGGTGCACACCACCATACCCAACTAATTTTTTATATTTTTTGTAGAGATGGGGTTTTGCCATGTTGCACAGGCTGGTCTCAAACTCCTGAGCTCAAGCTATCCACCTGTCTCTGCCTCCCAAAATGCTGGGACTACAGGCAGGAGCCACCGTGCCTGGCCAAATTAGGGGATTTTAATATAGCTAACATTCATTGAACACCTACATTGTGCCAGAAACTATACCAAGCATTAAGCATTTGCATACATTATCTTTCCATACATTATGTCACCAATCATCTTTTATCTCAAAGTGTCTCACACACTTCCAAGAAAGACATTTAGTCAATCTGGCTAGTAGTACTAAATAACTTCTAAAGAAACCAAAGGCTGCTTCATGGTTTCAACCAGAAGAATTTGGTTGGAGATCCCAGAAAAAGCTGTTGACCAAACAAAGCTGAGTTTATTAAATTTATTCCAAAGGAGACTATTTTAACAAAGTCTTCGCAGTGACTCAAAAAGAGAAAGTTAGGGAAGGATATTTATACGGTTTGGGCATCTGAACGCAAATCGTTTAAGACAGGTGTGTTTTGTTTGTTTGTTCGTTTTTTAGTTTTTGAGATGGAGTCTTGCTCTGTTGCCCAGGCTGCAGTGCAATGGCACGATCTCAGCTCACTGCAACCTCCGCCTCCTGGGTCCAAGTGATTCTCTTGCCTCAGCCTCCCCAGTCACTGGGATTACAGGCAAGCACCACCATGCCTGGCTAATTTTTGTATTTTTAGTAGAGACGAGGTTTCACCGTGTTGGTCAGGCTGGTCTCAAACTCCTGACCTCTGGTGATCTGCCCGCCTCGGCCTCTCAAAGTGCTGGGATTACAGGCATGAACCACTGTGCCCAGACAAGACAGGTGTTTGAAGGCAAATAATTTTCTGTAACTAAGATAAGTTCAAAGGTGAGGATCATGAGGCAAAACTTGATTAATTGTTGTCCTAATAAAACTTTTTTCCTAATTTTGGAGCTAATCTTTGGTATTTTGTAGTAACTTCTTTGAACTCTCCAATAATATGGCCTCCTGTGGTATTACGAAAACAGGATTCTTAGTGGGAGTCGTTCATCTGTCATAATGACCAGGTAAGGCATTTCCTTCAATCTTCGGATTATCCCTTTTGTTTGGCATTCTACCTCCTTAAGAAACATTAGAACACTTAATCCTTTGACTATTTTTATTTGCTTTTTCCTCTGCAGATATCAATATTCTTAGTTATTTAAAACTTTCCCCACCTCTTGCCATTGGTATTAATTCTCTTATCTCTAGTTTGTTGACAAGTCATGGTGAATACAATAAATTCTGCCTCCTGTATATACTTTGGATTCAGTAAAATATCATTATTCTAGGGTGGGCTTTATTCTAGGGAAAGTGCTCTTTCCTGTAATCCCAGCACTTTAGGAAGCTGAGGCACTTCAGCCCAGGAGTTCAATACCATCCTGGGCAACATAGTGAGACCTTGTCCCTACAAATAATTTAAAAATTAGCAGGGTGTGCTGGCACACACCTGTGGTCCCAGCTACCCAGGAAGCTGAGGTGGGAGAATTGCTTGAGCCCGGGTGATCAAGGCTACAGTGAGCCATGATCACACCACTGTACTCCAGTCTGAGTGACAAAGTGAGATCTTGTCTAAGAAAGAAATAATAATGATAATAACAAATTATTATTCCAGGTGTTAGTTGAGATCTGTGATGACATATTCAGCCTGATAATTTCCTGTTTGGTCTTAAAGTATGACTCATTGTATTAGTCCATTCTCACATTTCTATAAAGAACTACCTGAGACTGGGTAGTTTATAAACAAAAGAGGTTTAATTGGCTCACAGTTCATAGACTGTACTGGAAGCATGGCTGGGGAGGCTTCAGGAAACTTACAATCATGGTGGAAGGTGAAGGGGAAGCATGGCTGGAGCAGGAAGAAGAGAATACAGGGAGAGGTGCTACACACTTTTAAACAACCAAATCTCATGAGAACTCACTTGCTATCATGAGAACAGCAAGGAGGAAATCTGCCCCCATGATCCAATCACCTCTTATCAGGCCCCTCCTCCAACATTAGGGATTACAATTTGACATGAGGCTTGGGCAGGGACACATCAAAACCATACCATTCTGCCTCTGTCCCCTCCCAAATATCATGTCTTTCTCATATTGTGAAATACAATTAGCCCTTCTCAACATCCCCCCAGTCTCAACTCATTTTAGCATTAAGTGAAAAATCTATAGTCCAAAGTTTCTTGTGAGACAAAGCAAGTCCCTACTGCTTATGAGCCAGTAAAATAAAAAACAAGTTAGTTACTTCCAAGATACAATGAGGGTACAGGCATTGGGTAAATGAACCCATTCCAAAAGAGATAAATTAGTCAAAACAAAGGGGCTACAGGCCTCATACAATTCTGAAGCCCAGCTTTAGATAATGACTACTAGGGTAGTCATTAAATCTTAAAGCTCTGATATAATCTTCTTTGACTCCATGTCCTGTATCCAGGCCACACTGATGCAAGGGGTGGGCTCCCAAAGCCTTGGGCTGTTCTGCCCCTGTGGCTCTGCTGCGCTCAGGTCCCAGGGCTGGCGCTGAGTGCTTGTGGCTTTTTCAGGTACATGGTGCAAGCTGCTAGTGGATCTATCTGTCTGGGATATAGAGGATGCTGGCCCTCTTCTCAGCTCCACTAGGTAGTGCCCCCATGGGGACTCTGTGTGGGGGCTCCAACCCCACATTTCCCCTCTGCACTGTCCCAGTAGAAGTTCTCCATGAGGCCTCTGCCCCTGCAGCAGACTTCTGCCTGGACATCCAGGCATTTCCATACATCCTCTGATATCTAGGCTGAGGCTTCCAAGCCACAACTCTTGTGCTCTGTGCATCTGCAGGCTTAACACCACATGAAAGCCACTAAGTCTTATGGCTGACACCCTCTAGAGCAGTGGGTTAACATGTATCTGGGGCCCTTTTAGCTACAACTGGCACTTGAGTGGCTGGGACACAGGGAGCAATGTCCCATGGTTGTGCAGGGCAGCAGGGCCCTGGGCCTGGACCATGAAACCATTCTTCTCTCCAAGACCTCTGGGCTTGTGATGGGAGGGGCTGCTACAAAGTTCTCTGAAATGCTTTCAAGGCATTTTCCCCATTGTCTTGGCTATTAACATTCTGCAATGTTACTTATGCAAATTTCTGTAGATGGCTTGAATTCCTCCCAGAAAATGGGGTTTTCTTTTCTAGTGCATGGTCAGACTGCAAATATTCTAAACTTTTATGCCCTGCTTCCCCTTTAAATATAACTTCCAGTTTCAGACATCTCTTTGCTCACACATATGACCATATGCTGTTAGAAGCAGCCAGGCGACATCTTCAATGCTTTGCTGCTCAGTGTGTGGGGGTGTACGACAATACATTCAAGCTTATATACAAGGCATTTGAGGTTGAGGCATGGAAAAATACTAAGGCACTGTGTGTATGTTGTTTGTGCATGATACTGTAACTCCTTGACTCTGAAAACAGGACAAGGAACAGGATGTGTGATAAGGAGTGCTGAAGACAGCATCCTAAGAATGTGGTTTGAGTGCTTTCAGATGTAATAAATAAGGCCATATGTACCTCATGACCTGACCCCCAAATAGCCACCTGGTGGATGTTTCTTGTTTGTCTAAATTGTAGTTTAACAAGCCTTCTCAACAAATACTTGACAGACAGATCTTAAAGCAGCAATCCCTTGAAGGAGCTGCTCCCCACCCCGTTCATTGTAATTGTATGAATACTTATTTCTCGGCGTTCACTGCAGAGCAACCTGCAAGTGGTGACCCTGATGCGACTGCTTTGAAGTTACACGTGGAGTAGGATGACTCACCAATCTTTGGGGAATACCAGTAAGGAACAGTCCCAACCCGTTTTCAGGAGGATGTGACCAAAGTGTATAATACCAAGGGTCGGGTTACCATGAGTCAGGAGTTGACCAAAGAGCAGAAAGTTTTTTATAAAATGGTGCAACAATTACTTAAGGCTATCCAGTGCACTGTAGAGTCCGAAGCTTTGCATAAGCTTATGCTTTTAATTTGGCAGGAATGCCCTTGGTTACATGATCAAGGAACATTAGATTTAAAGTTATGGGAGCAGGTGCGTTGCTGCCTGAAAAGAGGATTGGAGCAGGGCCATTTTGCTAATGTTACCGTTTTGACCACCTGGAGTTGGTTACACTCTGCGTTATACCCTTTTGATATGCCAGACTGTGATGAGTCACATCACCCATTTTCTTCACCTGAAGGGAATTCAGAAGATTTAAAGGGAAAGGGTACACAGGAACCAGAACAACAAAGAGGGGCTCCTCGCCCCACTTCACTCCCTTCAGTAGGGCATAAAGAAGACACTCTGGTAAAAGTTTTGGTTTCAGCTGCCGAATATACTGTGTGGGGGAGCGAGTACAGTCATTTAGCCATGCAGCAATGATTACAAATTTTGGATAATGATATCCTGATACAGCTTTATATGCTATTGGTAACAGGGCCTTTTCTTCAGCTCAGGCTCAGGCTCAGGTGGACAGCAGTTGATTTCCTCAATGCTCGCAGCTAGCCATACAAGTATGGAAGAGGATACCCGTGGGACAATCCCAGGGTTCCTTTGTGATGGTTAGACAGGATGCAACAGAAACATACATTGAATTTATCAACCAATTGCAGGCTGCAATCAAAAGACAGGTACCCCATCCTGAAGCCACCAGACTTCTTAAGTTGTAATTGGCTTTTGAAAATGCAAATAAGGATTGTCAGGCAGCAATAACCCCAGTCCGAGCCACTGCCACTGAAATCAGTGTGTTTATTAAAGCATGCCAGAATGTAGGCACTACAACTCATCTGGCCCAGACTTTTGCTGCAATGATGACTGGGGCCACATGTTATAACTGTGGCCAAACCGGGCATATGGCCAAAGAATGCTGATAGAAGGGAGTCCCAAAGAAATCAAAGGCCTCTAAAATACCCTCTAAAGAATGCCTGCAATGCAGTAAAGGTAAGCACTGGGCTAACCAGTGCAAATCAAAATTTGATAAGGATGGAAACCCGTTATCAAGAAACAGGAAGAGGGGTGAGATCTCCAGCGCCCAGAAAAATCCATGGAGGAACACCAATCCCCAGACTTGGGGAATAGCTTTTTCCTCGGAGTCAGGACCAGAAATAGCATCCATGACCTCTCTTCTGCCACCTCCAGCAGCGAAGGGCTGGACCTCGCAGTCATAACAGTCATGGTGCTTAAAGAGCAAGATGCGGTCCAGTTGATTTCAACTGGAATCTGTGACCGGTTACCCAGAGGAATGTTTGGATTGATTATTGGAAGGTCTTCTAATACACTTAAAGGGATTCAAATTCTCCCTGGAGTGATAGATTCAGACTATTTAGGAGAAATAAAACTTATGGCACAGGTGTCAGGGGTCCACACCATCTCTAAAGGAACTCGCCTTGCTCAGACTATTCTTATTCCTTACCTTCAAGGTAATACTCAACAGAAAATGGTGGGGCCTCAGGATTCGGCCACTCAGGCATGAAAGTTTTTTGGAGTAGTCCAGTGTCATCTCATAAACCATACTTGGAAGTAAAAATTAATGGAGTTATGTTTATGGGAATTATTGACACAAGAGCTGATCAAACTATTATAGCTAAAAAACACTGGCCTTCAGATTGGGCCTCCTCTTCTGCCTTATGTTCTATCATGGGTGTTGGAGAGTATCAGCAGCCATTAAAAAGTAGGCATAACCTTCCACTTTTGGGCCTGGAAGGCAAGGTTGCCCAGGTTCAGCCCTTTATCTTAGAAATTCCATTTTCTCTGTGGGGACAAGATGCCCTAGAACAGTGGGGCTTAAACCTCTCTGTCCTGCCACCTTTTTGGTAGGGGCCACTGCTCCTTTGAAAATTATCAAAATTAAGAGGAAAACTACTAGCCCAGTATGGGTGGAGCAGTGGCCCATTAAGAAGGAAAAATTGGAACATATTCAACGTCTAGTACAAGAACAACATGCTGGCCACATTGAGCCTCCTGCTAGTCCCTGGAACACTCCTATTTTTACTATTCCAAAGAGGTCAGGAAAATGGGGGTTATTGCATGACCTCTGTGCTATTAATGCTGTGATGCTTCCTATGGGACCTTTGCAACCAAGATTGCCTTCTCCGGGTATGATCCCCAAAGACTGGCTTCTTATTATCATTAATCTAAGAAATTGTTTTTTTACCATACCCTTGCATCCCGAGGATCGAGAAAAATTTACTTTTACCATTCCCACTTATAACAATCAGCAACCAGTTCAACGTTATCAATGGAGAGTTCTACCCCAAGAGATGATAAATAGCCCACTACATGTCAGCTTTACGTACTTGAAGCCTTACTTTCTGTGCGTCCATCCTTCCCCCAGGCAAAAATCTTCCACTATGTGGATGATATTTTGATAGCTGCTCAATACCAGTCATTACTGCATCAACTTTACACAATGGTAATATAGCGTATGTCATAGTATGGTCTTGTTATTACACACACAAAAAAGTCCAGCTGACATCTCTGTGGCTCTATCTAGGAAGTCTTATTTTATCTACTACCCCTAGGCCACAACTTACAAAAACAATTCTTCCACAGCACTTAACCCTTAATACATTACAGCAAGTCTTCGGACAGATTAATTGGATATGTCCCTATTTAGGCATTCCTGCAAATTCCTTGACTAATCTTTTGTCACCCTGAAAGGTCACCCTGCTTTAAATTTGCTGCGAGACCTCTCTCCACTAGCACAGGCAGACCTTAACACTGTGGAGCAAGCCTTGGCCCAATGGTGCATCTCGCGTTTAGATCCTGACAGACCTCTAGATCTTTTTAATACCTCTCATAGCCCTACAAGGATGCTTGGGCAAGTTGGAACAGATGTGTCTCCTTTGGAGTGGCTTTACCTGCCTCATAACCCCTCTAAACCCATACAAAAGACCACAGATTTAATAGCTTCTCTTCTCATAAAGGGATGCCATCCAATTGTCAGGATATGACCCTGCTACTCTTTTCTTACCTTTAAGCAAGGAACAATTTCATACTCTGTTAGCTTGTGATCTTGATTGGCAAGTTGCAATGGCCGACTTTGTTGGTAATATCAGTTTCCATTTACCAGCCTCTAAGCTCCTGAACTTTTTACAAACTGTACCTGTTAAAAATTCGTATCTATTGTTGTTTCTGAGCCCTTGCCTCACGCCACTACTGTCTTTACAGATGATTCAGGAAAAACAAAAAAGGCAGGTATAGTGTGCAAGATGCCATGCAAAACTGGCAGCACAAAATCCAGGAACATTTCAAAACTATGCAACAGGCAAAGTTAGGTGCCCTAATGCTGGCCTTACAAACTTTTCCTCACCAAGACATAAATATAATTAGTGATTCCTCTTATGCGGTGTGTAGTATTACTCATTTAGATCTCGCACATCTGAAAGGCACTACTAATGAACCCCTACTAACCCTACTTCTCACAGTGCAGGAGCTCCTCTGTGCCCGTCATCACCCCCTTTATATCACACATATTCGCTCTCATTCTGGGCTACCTGGTCCCTGTCAGAAGGGAATGTTTGAGTTGATGCTCTGGTACAACCACAGATGTGGTTTTCAGACTCTCTTGCTTTTTTGTGAGCTCAAGCTGATCATTCCTTTTTTTCATCAGAACGCCCGCAGTCTTACACAACAGTTTCATTTAACGCTTGCTCAAGCTCGCATGATTATTAAAACTTGTCCTGATTGCCAAGGGCATTCTCTCTCCCCTTTTTCATTGGAACTTGGTGCCAACCCATGAGGTCTGGTACCTAATGCTATCTGGTACACTGATATTACTCAGCATCTACCTTTGAATGCTTTAAATTTCTCCACGTTACTGTGGACACTTATACGGGCCTGAAACATGCTACTCCCTGGACTGGACAAAAAACTAAAGAGCAATTGCTCATCTTTTAAAATCTATTATGACCTTAGGCCTTCCAAAAACTATAAAAACTGATAATGGTCCTCGCTATCTTAGCGCTCGATTTGCATATGCATTGAAACATTGGCACATACAACATAAAACTGGTATTCCTTATAACTCAACTGGTCAGGCCATTGTTGAACAAGCTCATCGAACTCTTAAAGTATATATTAATAAACAAAAAAGGGGGCGATATGGGGGGGTGTACAACAATACAGTCAAGCTTATGTACAAGGCATTTGAGATCGAAGCATGGAAAAATACTGAGGCACTGTGTGTATGTTGTTTGTGCATGAGACTGTAACTCCTTGACCCTGAAAACAAGACAAGGAACAGGATGTGTGATAAGGAGTGCTGAACACAGCCTCCTAAGAATGTGGTTTGAGTGCTTTCAGACGTAATAAACAGAGGCCATATGCACCTCATGACCCGACCCCAAATAGCCACCTGGTGGATGTTTCTTATTTGTCTAAACTGTAGTTTAACAAGCCTTCTCAGTAAATACCTGGCAGACAGATCTTAAAGCAGCACTCCCTTGGAGGAGCTGCTCCCCGCCCTGTTCAGCTGTAACTGTCTGAATACTTATTTATTGGTGTTCACTGAAGAGCAAGCTGCACTTAGAAATTTCATCTGCCATTTTTTCTAAATCATCACTCTCAAGTTCAAAGTTCCACAGATCCCTAGAGCAGGGGCACAATGCTGCCATCTCTTTGCTAAAGCATATCAAGAGTTACCTTTACTCCAGTTCCCAATAAGTTCCTCATTTCCATCTGAGACCTCCTCAGCCTGGACGTCACTGTCGATATCACTATCAGCATTTTGGTCACAGCCATTTAACAAGTCTCTAGGAAGTTCCAAACTTGCCCTCACCTTCCTGTCTTCTTCTGAGCCCTCCAAACTGTTCCAACCTCTGCCCATTACCCAGTTCCAAAGCTGCTTCCACATTTTCAGGTATATTTACAGCAGTGCCTCACTCCTGGTACCAATTTTCTGTATTAGTCCATTCTTGCATTGTTATAAAGAACTACCTGAGACTGGGTAATTTATAAAGAAAAGAGGTTTAATTGGCTCATGGGTTCTGCAGGCTGTACAGGAAGGATGGCTAGGGAGGTCTCAGGAAACTTCCAATTATGGCAGAAGGTGAAGTAGAAGCAGGCATGTCCTACATGGCTTCAGCAGAAGGAAGAGAGCAAAGGGAAAGGTGCTACACACTTTGAAACAGCCAGATCTCACGATAATTCACTATCATGAGAATAGCAAGGGAAAAAATCTGCCCCCATGATCCAGTCACCTCCCTTCAGGCCCCTCCTTCAACACTGAGGATCACAATTTGACATGAGATTTGGGCAGGAACACAAATCCAAACAGTATCGCCATGAACAAACAAGGCTAACTCTCAATTTTCTGGAAGAGTTTCTAATCTGTTTAGGGCATGGACTGTTCTTGGCCAGAGGTTAGGCAGTCATGATTTACCCCTTCTTCTGGTAAAAGAAGGAAAGCAACAGTACATATATTATGGTACTACCAGGGAAGGAAACGTAAGTGAGAAAGCAATAAAATTTCATGAATAGTAAGCATATCCTTTAAGTACATTTTCAGCTTCATGCAGCCAGTGAGGTTTTTCTGAGGTGTGATTATTGCTAATTGAAAACTTCCCAATACCCGGTGGTGATGATTTGCAATACAGTTGGCATCGGAAAATTTTGACAATCTCTACAGATTGAATAAAGTAAAAAAAGAAAGAAATATAGTGAATTTTTAGCATGCAACTATTGTACATGATGAGGGTCCATTGAGTCTAAGGGAGACCCTACGAGTGAGTTAGCAGTAGCCTTCACTAATTTAGCTGAGTTGCTATTGCCCTGAGACAAGGAAGGTGCACTTTTGCCATTGGGTCAAGAGGAAAGCTGTAGCAAGTCTCTGATAAATGCTATAAAGCTGAGTCAGAATACTAAGGGCTTGTCCATCATTGCTTATATGCAAATAGGTAAAGTGGTTTAAAATACTTAAGATGACTCAGCATATGAAGATGTTAAAAATCTCATTTTAAATCATAAAATGCTGGCTCATATCTAGGCTCCCAAGGAAGAGTTTTGATTATTTAAAACTTGTTTAAATCAGATAGAGTCATGATGATTTTAGGACAGTTGGAATCCTCTTAATTGACTCTGAATAACTGGCCCAGAAAAGTTTGTTTGTGTTTGTTTTTGTTTTAGAGATGGGATCTTGGTTTTTTGCCCAGGCTGGAGTACAGTTGCTATTCACTGGAGCAATCCTAGACAGGCTGAAATTCCTGGGCTCAAGAGATCCTCCTGCTCCTGCCTCAGCCTCCTGAGAAGCTAGGACTACAGGTGTATATCATGGTGTGTAGCTTTGGCCTGGAAAACCGTTGAATGGCTTTTCCTCTGTCCTAAGTGGGGTATTTACTCTTGAATAAATCTTGATCTAAGTCACACAATCTGTTTTGAGAAAATTGTAACTTTCCTTCTAACTTTAAGTCCTTTCTGAGTTAAAACTGTAAGAACATAAATGACTAAGAGAGCTCAACTCATTTTTAGAATATAACAAGTGGTCATCTACATATGGGATACAAGTAGAGTTTCAAGGAAATTTAAGGTTCAGAAGGTCCTAATCATGAACTTGTGAAAAAAAGGTAAATCACTAAAGCATAACTGTCAAAGCATATCGTTGACTTTACCAGGAAAAAGTGAGCACGATTAACTATTTCAATCTACCCTAAGGAACCACTAAAGAGGGCATAGCACAGATTTCTAAGTCCAGAATATGTAACCCCACAAGAAAATAGTATTAGAGCTCAGTATACAGAAAGTTCAGGAATGGCAGTTTTGTTTATGACCCTGAGGTCCTAAACTAATATATATCATTGCAGATTGTGTTATTTGACGTAAGGACCAGTACAAGTTATGGTGAGTCTTTTTTTTTTTTTTTTTTTTTTTTTTTTTTCTGAGACGGAGTTTCGCTCTTGTTGCCCAGGCTGGATTGCAATGGCACAATCTCGGCTCACTGCAACCTCTGCCTCCTGGGTTCAAGCAATTCTCCTGCCTCAGCCTCCTGCATAGCTGGGATTATAGGCATGCAACCACCAAGCCCGGCTAATTTTTTTGTATTTTTAGTAGAGATGGGGTTTCTCCATGTTTGTCACGCTGGTCTCAAAACTTCCAACCTCAGGTGATCTGCCTGCCTCGGCCTCCCAAAGTGCTGGGATTACAGTCGTGAGCCACCACGCCCAGCCAGAGAGTCTTTTTTTTAAATTAGGCTTTCAACTATTGATTTTAGTTCTTTATCTACTGTTTTTAGAAGTTATTGTGCAAGCTTGAATATGTTTTGAATGTGTCAACATAACCTTGATAGATTCAGCCCTAAAAATTCTACTGAATTCTACAGATCAGAGTATGCCACCCCAAAATTTTCCTCTTTGACATAAGAATTATTTTAAGCTGAAGGCAATCAAGAAATAGCAGGCACAGAAAAGCTCTGTGCCCTCCCCCTACTTGCTTGAAAGCAGGGCATAAATTTTTGTTTAAGAAAACGTCCTCCCTTCACTCTTTCATACCAGGAAAATCCACAATTTACCACCCCTACAAGGCTGAACTCCCTTTCCTTTGTCTTGCCACTTCTTTATACTGCTGTTTGTTAAAATGGTATATAAAGCCTCCAAGTCTGTTTCTTTGTCTTCATTTTGTTTCTGTGGATGCCTCTGGGTGCATACATAACTATTTATCCTGCTAGCCTATTTTTGGTCAGTTTAATTTGCAGGGCCCCAGTTACTGAACCAACGAGGGTTGAAGAAAAGTTTTTCCTCCCCTACACTACGTATATCAGTAGAACTTTAAGTCCATAAGGAGGCCAGTACAGGACATTATAGAGACCTTCAATGTGAGCTTGATTTAGGCACAAGGATACCAGTACATTTTCAAACTAGCCTTGGCCTGTGTTTTAATAGGGAAGTCCCTATGGATCTCAAAGAAGAGGTGTTTAGTGGAGCAGTTAATCTGGCAGATTCATTTACACAATAGATCCCACCACCTGAGTAGTTTGTTGACCTTCTGGGAGATGTGATATCTCAGCACCTGAGTTAAAGGGAGGTATTCTAATACTCATCATCAAAAAAACATTTTCAAGACTGTTCTATAACATTGACATAAATTTTTCTCGTGAACTTAAGAGTAAAGCGGCCGGGCGCAGTGGTTCACACCTGTAATCCCAGCACTTTGGGAGGCCGAGGTGGGCGGATCACAAGGTCAGGAGATCGGGACCATCCTGGCTAACACAGTGAAACCCCATCTCTCCTGAAAATACAAAAAATTAGACGGGTGTGGTGGCAGGCACCTGTAGTCTCAGCTACTTGGGAGGCTGAGGCAGGAGAATGGCGTGAACCCGGAAGGCGGAGCTTGCAGTGAGCCGAGATCGCGCCACTGCACTCCAGCCTGGGCGACAGAGCGAGACTCCGTCTCAGAAAAAAAATAAAAATAAAAATAAAATGGTTAATTGGGTACTTGAGTCCCCCTTAGAGCAACTTTATTTTTTACTGACCTTTTCCCCCCTTCAGTTTGTTAACTAGCACAATTGTTTTTCCAATATCTTTTCTGTTTACAGTATTTACATACTTCTTTATCAAGGGTCTTCTTTCCCTGGATGCTTTTATTAGTTTTTATCTGTAAAGGCATAAGTTTATTCTAGGTCTGAGGGCTCTAGGCCCTTTGTTTGTTTGTTTGTTTTTAGACGGAGTTTCACTCTTGTTGCCCAGGCTGGAGTGCAATGGCGTGATCTCGGCTCACTGCAACCTCCACCTCCCAGGTTCAAGCGACTCTCCTGCCTCAGCCTCCCGAGTAGCTGGGATTTCAGGCATGCACCACCATGTCCGGCTAATTTTGTATTTTTAGTAGAAACGGGGTTTCTCCATGTTGGTCAGGTTGGTCTCGGACTGGACCTCCCGTGTTCCACCCACCTCAGCCTCCCAAAGTGCTGGAATTACAGGCGTGAGCCACCGCGCCCAGTGTCTAGGCCTCTTTCAAAAATTTCAGTTAGGTGTTAAAGATCTGGCCATAGGGCTATTCCCAATTTCAGTGTTTCCATGGGGAAGGCAGTGTTAAGCCCTATTTCTGGCTTAAGGCTGTTCACAAAAAGTGAGGAAAGCTTAAGGGTCATGTATGTTTCAGTATCTACTCTTGAAAGCTATCTGAAGTTATTAAAAAGACTATCCCTGACGTCTCCAGTTACTTCTTTTGGAAGACTCTTCATTCCCCTCCCCAAAGAAAGCAGACACTTGGACTTTGCTCACTTTTTGTTGTAAGATGTCTGTCAAATACACTATTCTTATCAAATATATCAAATCCCAGTATTCTTATAAAAAGTTCCCCACTATAATTCTGCAGGGTTCCTGCTAACGAGCTAATGTTTATTCCACTATAACCCTAATCTATAGACTTATCTTTCTAAGTGGCATAATTTTACCAAAAATAATTTAGAATTACAGCTAAGCTACTTCCAGATTCCTTACTTCCTAATTCAGAAACTGTGTGAGATAAAAAACGTCTGTTGTTTTAAGTTGCTATGTTTTAGGGTAATTTGATAGTGAACACAGTAATTTTTCTGCTGTCTATCTGTTTAAAGAGTAGTATATAATATTTAAGTACATTACCTTATCTTCATCATAAGTTTTTAAGACCAAGATTGGAATAGATATTTATTATTCATTCATTTACATTTTACAGGGTTAACTATGCCCTAGGTAGTATGCTTAATGTCTCATTCTGCCAACCTTTAATGAAGAGTTTAGAATGATGTTTGATAAAAAAAACTTAAATGCACACAGAAAGCACTTAATAAGAGTTGGGAATTATTATTATTATCATATGGATAAAAAGGTCAATAAATTATGTTTTTTGTCTCACAAGGTGGAGAGGTAAGAAAGAATCAGTGAATTAACAGCCATATAACACAAGATAAATTATTGTAATACATGCTAAATTCTTAAAATGATAGATGTATGTACACATTTTTGTGGGATCACAGAGGAAGAAGTGATTAATTCTTCGGGGAAGCATAAAGGGATGAGGTTGGGCCTTGAAAGTGGAATAAAATTTCCCAAGGCAGGGAAGGACATTCATTCATTCCATAAATATGGCACTGTGTCAGTGGTGGAAAAAAAAGCCCATCAACATTGTTCTACCTTCATGAATCTTAGAACTAGGAAGAGAGATAAGTAATGGACAAGTACACAAATAAATAAATAAATAAAGCAATTAAAAGTACTAGAAAAGAAGAAAGCGGCATGAAGAGGAGAGAATGACAGGAGAAATCTGCTTACATAAGATCACCATACATACAAAGGACTTCAGGAAAGAGTCAATATTTAAGCTTAGACCTGATGGATCAGAAGAACCAGATATTGAAACATGATGAGAAGAGAGGCTCAAGGTCCTGAGAAAAGTACAGTGCAACTGAACTGCAGAGCGTGTAATGAAAATGTTGAGGTATTAGGAAAAGGTTGTTATATGGTTTGATATGGTAACTTTTCAGAAGGACACATTATCTGAGCCAGGCAAATGGCTCCCTATCCATGTTGTCTGAGAATATTTTGTCCCATTACTCTGTTATTGTAATTTCCGTCCATCAGTAAGCTTGAGACAGAGACATAAGAATGCATCTGAGCTATTGTGATATACATCCAGAGCTTGAAACAGGGGACAAGAGATAATAATCTGGTAATCACAGCTGAGATCACAGAAAAGCTAGGGAATGGATGGGTCTCATCCATTATGGTAATGTACGGAAAATCCTATAGAGAAGAAATATATCTAATATTTACCAGATAACAGGATAGTACTATACCCCACAATTATTCAGTATATGTTTCTTTGGCTGTATTTTCTAGGTCACCTTAGTGATAATTGCAGACAGCTAGGTGTATGCAGAAAGACATCCTCAAGAACACATCAACATCATCCCAGTCAGAGACTCTCTTCTCACTTTCCCATAGTCTGTTCTAGGTCACCTCCCATCCTACTGCCATGGCTGATCAAGCTTGATTTCAAGCACTGGCAGAAGAATAAATATGTATATGTTGTTCTTTGTGGGTAGAGTGAGCTGGGAGGATCAGGGTCTGAGATTCTAACTAAGCACTGCCTAGCCCACAGGCTCAGAAACCACTGCCATATTTCCACCAGGAATCTTCCTCACATTAGTTTTCTAATGAAGTACACACTAATTCAGCAGTGGCTGCTTTCACCTAGGTGTCCTAAGCTTAAAGCAGAGATGCAAGTTCATTAACTGCTGTCTGGTAAAGGGGACAAATGTCCAAAAGCGATCCCTGCACGGTTCTGTGAATTATAAACCCTTGTAGAATTGGGAAAAGAGAAAACGATTCTCAGGTTCCTGATGTGGAGAAATGTATATGGTGCCTTTGGCAGTGACTCTGAAAGACTGAACATTTCTACTTGCTGTGAACAAGAACTGACATTTAACCAGACACATCTCCTGACACCAACATGTATGTTTTTCCTTTCTTGATTTTATTTCATTAACTCTCACCACATCTTCACTACCCTGAATGCTAGAACTCTGGAGGTAGTTACATTTCTGACCTTTAACACCACTGACTTTCACAAAAATTAAAACATTTCTCCCAAATTTCAAACACTACCAATTCCTGCATAGACTCAGGGTAGTCTTGTTTGAATTTCTCATTGCTTCTAGATGTCACTTGGAAGTCCAAGCCCTAATGTGATCTTTTTCTACCTGCCAGAAACGCGGCGCTCCTATGATGACATTCATCAGCCTCATTAGTCATGCTTTGGGAAGCATAGAGGGGAAAAAAAGATAAAAACCTTTGTAAAAGTTACTCTGAGTCAGAGACCTGATAATGAGACACAGAATACATTTTATATATTTCAAACTTCTTGGAGATAGAAATGTTGCATCTTTTTAACAAATGCATTAATAAAAAATTACCCCAGTTGTTTTCAATGTTGTACAGGGACCAGGCAGAAAGGATCATGTTCTTTGCATTTCCTCTCTGAGAAGAAAGTATCCCAGTAATTGCTTTGCATCAAAGAAAAGACACATTTTTTTTTTAAATAATGCTGGAAATTGCTAAGTATGAGGAAGTGGAGACTTTCAAGATAGCCATATTTTGAAAGTTATTTAATACTGAATAAAATGGAGAATTTGAAGAATCTTGACTTTATTAAATAGACAATGAATTCAGAGGTGATTTCTTCTGAGTTGGAGTTCTGGAAATAAAAACAACTTGCCAATGATAGAACTTCTGAAAAGGAAAATCCCAATATTGTTCTAGTCTTAGACTGGTGGGGACTAAGTTAGAAGCATCTGATAAATAAAAGCACAAATTTTTAGGAAAAATTAGTTTTGAGTCCATTTTTCCTTTTTGCTGCACTAATGCTATACTACCATCATCATCACTGTTATTATCACCATCATCACCACCACCACCACCACCATCATCATCATCATCATCATCAGTATTTGTGGATCAGGCACTGTGCCAAGTACACATTTTGCATGGTCTCATTTAGTCCTCTCCAATGATATATCAATATCAGCCTCATTTTACAGTTGAGATAACAAAGCTGTAATAGAAATTAGGTAGCTTGCCCAAGATCACACAGATGCCAAAAGGGAGAGCCAGGATTCAAACTCAGACTGTTTGGTTCCAAAGATCTTATTCTATGCCTCTTTTCTCTAGATTATCCCTCATAAGGAACCAAATTCATTCTAATAAGCTAGTAAGCTATTATATCCCTGTCCCCTTTTTTAATACCTTGTGTAGCCTTCTGAATATTTTATTTCCTACAATTTTAAAAACTTCCATATGATGGGACACTCAATACATTTTTTTTTTACAACTGGAATACATTCAGAGAGATGGAAATTCTAATTTTTTTTTTAAAAAAGGCTACAGATTCTATTGTATATATTCTTTGAATATTTCAAACTCTCTTGGCTATCTCTAAGTCCCACTTCTGTACTCCATACTGTAGGATAGACCTCTCCCCTTACCTTCCTGAAATATCTCCCTATTTTGCAAAGCAACAAAGCTTCCCTTACGTTTTTTTCTTTTACTGAATTTTAAGAAAATTCTGATTAATTTAAATCAGTAAAATAATTAAATTAAACTAAATTAGGTAAACTTCAATTTTAGATAAATAAAAATGTAAAGAATCATCTAAATTTCAGGTCTCTTCTCATACTCAATACAAAATGTAAGATGTATAGAAGAGGAATGTAGGAAGGAACTGATAATCCTCCCCCCCGTTCATTCTCCCTTTCCTCATTTTAATAATAAAATCTCTGTCCCAGGTTTTAGAAGGCATGGCTGCTCAGCAAGAGGTTCCTCTGCAGTTAATTTCTTACCAAAAGAATATACAAACTTGATGTGTGCAACTTCTATCTCATTTTATTCAAATGTATGTGCTTGCCCTTTACTTTTCTCTTCTCCATCCCACAGGTTGACCACTATGAAGAGGACACTCTAGGGAATGGCAGAATAAATGGTAGAATAAGTATAATAATAATATAAAATAATAATAGAGTAAAAATAATGGTAGAATAAATATAAGTCCCTGGACAATTTCATGGGCTACCTCCTGATGGCTACAAGAAAGAAAATAAATTATCTTATTGGAACTACAGTATTTGGGGGTTTCTCTGTTACAGTGGCTTAGCCGACACCCTAATAGTTTTAAATTCAGTACCAGAATATTATGGACTAAGTTGTAGACCCCCAAAATTTATAGGTTGAAGGCCAAAGCCCCAATGTAACTATATTGGAAGATAGGGCCTTTCAGGAGATAATTAAGGTTAAATGAAATCATAGAGAGGGGCCCTAATCTTATAAGACTGGTGTCCTTATAAGAGAACACTGGAACACACAGGGAGACATTAGGGGCACAAGTGCCTAGTGTAAGGACACAGCAAGAAGGGAGCCATCTGCAAGCCAAGGAGAGAGGCCTCAGGAGAAACCAAACTTGCCAACACTTTGACCTTGAACTTTTGGCCCTCAGAACTGTTAAAAAACAAATTTTGGTTGTTTAAGCCACCCAGTCTTTGCTATTTGTTATGCAGCTCTAGCTGACTGATACGTAGGAATGGAAAAGTGCCATCATAACAAAAATCTAAAATATGTGGCTCTGGTATTGTGTTGCCAGGCAACCGGCAGTGTGGAAACAGATATTGCAGGATGAAAAACTAGAGACCCTTGTTATGTTTTGACCAATCACTAGGTAAAACTGACACCAGCAACAATTTGAAAGGCAGACTAGCTATGGGGAAAGCAGTTAGAACCAGAGTGGTTAATGTATATTGGTGGCTCCTTGCTGATGTTTTTAGTGAGGTACTATCAAAAGTAGTTGCTGTAAGATCAAAAAATAAAAAGTTTGCAAGTAGATAACACCATGCCCTGAAGTACAATTGCTTCTGCATTCAAGGGAGCAGGAGATGTGACTATTATTCAGTTTTGTTCAATAGTCACCACTGTGGCTGGGTGCAGAGGCTCACGCCTGTAATCTCAGCACTTTGGGACGCCGAGATGGGGGGATCACCAAAGGTCAGGAGTTCACGATCAACCTGGCCAACATAGTGAAACCCTGTCTTTACTAAAAAATACAAAAATTAGCCAGCAGAAGCCTGTAATCTAAGTTATTCAGGAGGCTGAGGCAAGAAAATTGCTTGAACCGGGAGGCAGGGGTTGCAGTGAGCCAAGATTACGCCACTGCATTCCAGCCTGAGTGACAGAGCAAGACTCCGTCTCAAAAAAAAAAAAAAAAAAAAGTCTCCATTGTGTTACTGGTCAGACAATGGGAGTCATTTCGGCAGAAAAGATCAGATGAAGAATGTTGCATCACCACTTAAACTCATTGTTGGAGAAGACTTCAAGATGGCTGCCATTAATTTGAGGGACAGAGGTATGGGCCAGGCACAGTGACTAATAAATAACACATTGCTGGCTTAAAGAACTATAACTAGAACAGCTCTTTGGCTGTGGCTACTTTCACATGAACTGACTGAAAGCAAATGAACCAGAAACCTCTAGTATTTTTGATAAAATGATGTCACCAATGCTATGATGACCCTTAAGATGTCAGATGAACTTCCTCCTCCCAAAATTCATAGAAAATTACCACGAATTCAGTTCGGATGCTGAGACTGATAATGCCACACACACAAGAAATGGGTATAAAAAGGTTTATTACTCACATACTGAGACTTTCCAGGGAGATAGGGCAGGCTCCCAGGAGGGTCGAGAAACGGCTTAATTGGTTTGGCTTTTATCCGTCTTAGAGTGTGAGGCTGGGGTGAAGCTTCCTGCATGCATGCCAGGGCTTGCGTGATTTGAACTTCCTGCTGGGGCCAAAGGAGGAGGCACCCATGCTTCCATCAGCTTGCCCAGATGTGCAGCATAAGGGAGAAGGGAAAGGTGAGTCTTGAAAGATGTCAGCAGTCAAACATTAAAAACGGCATTGACGTCTTTATTACAGTCAAATGAACTAAAACCCCGGCCTATAAAAGCGTATATTTTTCAGTCTCTAAGGCAATCTAGGTCTAAAAGTCTGCACCAGCAAGCAGGGGCTGCAAAAGCTGCGATGTCCCTCAAAAGTTTCAGACGGGGCCACAGAAGCTGACGAGCAAGACTTTCCTAGAGGTCAAACTAGTGGCCACAGAAGACAATGGACAAGGGAGTTTCTCCTAGATAGCAGATTCATGATTTCACCAAGGAACACTTTCTGCTGGGCAAGGGATCTCCATCATGCCTGCTCAGCAGATTATCACGGCATGGGCCATTGGCTGCTATCATTTTTGTCTTTAACTCTAGTATTCATTCCCCTCTTTTTAGCTTTAGTAATAGAACCCTTTCCCTGGAGTTTTAGTAGGGCACATGTCCATCTAGTTAGAGACACGTCCCAGGCTTTCTTGAAGCTAGGTATAGCTATATAGTAAGTATTCATGAATGGACGGTGGGCAGAAGTGATGGCTGTAATTTCCTAAAAAGGAAATGGCTTGCTCCACCTTCTTCTTTTTTCACAGGCTAGGAAGTCTTGAGCCAGCTTTGACCATGGAAAGAACAATACCCTTGGGTATTAAGAGAACTAACAAGGTAGATGACTCCTATATCCCTTGAATACCTTGTGAAATGAAGCCACTTCTGGATTGCTATGTGAGAAAAAAATAAATTATCTTACATGAGCCATCATATTTTGGGGTCTCTTTGTTACAGCAGTTTAGATCATTTTCTGATTTATACAAAAAGAGAATGAAAACATTAAGAAGGTAAGCTTATTTACCTTTTATGACCTTAAAATGTCCTCTGCTTGTTCTTTTGGGTTTTACCTTTAACAAGTATAAATAAGGTGCTTCAAATTTAATTGGCTGTAAGCAAGTAAGACCTTAAGACTACATGTGACCTTATGAATTCAGTGTGCTTCTCCCCTTTTCCAAAAATCAACCTACAGAATACAGTTGCATATACTTTTTCGGGATAAATGGAAGCGTTTAGTGTAAATGCATGAATATCAAACTGATAAATGAAAACTAAGATTGATATATATCAACTTCCCCTTTTTTCAACACAAATGTATATCCATGCACTATTCTAATCTACTACTCTGTAATCAATTAATCATAGACAACTGAATAAAGATAAAATGGATAAAGCAGACTTCGTCTCCCATAATGTGATGCAGAGATGATTATTTCTCGGACTCCCAGTTTCGTGTTACTCTATGCTTCAGAATAGTTCACTGTGTTGCTAAGACAACAAGGATGCTGCAACCGGAAACTGGGATTGAAGTCAAGGCACTGGAGCTGCCTCAAAAGATGTCATAAATAGTGTGTTCAAGGCCTTTTTCACAGTGAAACTGTAACTTTTGAATTAGAAAAAAAATTATTGGAGCCAAGCACGGTGGTGCACACCAGTAACCCCAGATACTTGGGAGGCTGAGGGAGGGGGATCGCTTGAGCCCAGGAGCTTGAGGCTGCAGTGTGCTATGATCATACCTGTGAATAGCTACTGCACTCCATCCTGGGCAACATAGCAAGATACCCATCTGTTAAAAAACAAAACACAAAAATAAACAGAAGAAGATTATACTCAATTCAACACCTTTCCACAGACTATGATTTTCAGTTATTCACATTCTAAGATTAAGAAAACATTGGCCTGTAATCCCAGCACTTTGGGAGGTGAAGTGGGCAGATCACAAGGTCAGGAGATTGAGACCATCCTGGCTAACACGGTGAAACCCCGTCTCTACTAAAAATACAAAAAAATTAGCCAGGCGTGGTGGTGCGTGCCTGTAGTCCCAGCTACTCGGGAGGCTGAGGCAGAGGAATGACTTGAACCCAGGAGGTGGAGACTGTAGTGAGCCGAGATCGTGCCACTGCACTCCAGCCTGGCAACAGAGTGAGACACCATCTCAAAAAAAAAAAAAAAAAAGAAAAAAGAAAACATTGGTATGTGGACTAAAGGTCAGGAAACCATCACTCCATATATACATATTACAGCTCCATGGAAATAACTGAGGGGAACTTGTCTTTAAATTCCAGTTTACCTTTATTCTAATAGAGGCATGTCTGAAGAGTATCAGAAGAAAACAAATGAAATTAGGTTGTCAGTTTTTCCTCCACTAACGATGTACATCTCACCTAAACAAAGGTTTGATTCTATGTAGTAAATAGGTTTGATGTTCACTGAGACCTGCGATTTGATACTTGGAATTTGAGTTTATAAAAAGATACAAAGAAATATGGTCTTCTCAATCAACTTTTGATAAAGGCACAGAAAGCTCATCAGTAGCAATGATGTGAGCTGGGTTGCATCTCCAGGTTTGTCTAAGCAAACTGCACAATGGCAGCAATCCTCCTGGTTTTAATACTCATAACATCAAGGCAAGGACAAAGAAAAAAAAATGCTTGAACTGATTTTGTTGTTTTTTTCTGACCTACAAAAAAAAAAAAAAATGAAAACAGCGTTTCACTAAGCTGAAGAGTGTCCTTCACATCATGTATATTGTATTGCACACAAACTTTTTTAACTCCGTCAAAAACAACAAGAACAGATGAATAAGGAAGCCCAGTGCTTTTTGAGATAGAAGCCTTCTTCAGAATCACCTCCCTCTCTTAAGAAGTAATCTGGTGAAAAATAATGGTTAGGCAAAGGCAGGTGTTGGAGGATATGTTTTCCCAATCTTTTAGAATCTCTTGCTTAAGAGACACAGAGGTGACTGGAGACTGAGTTACCAGTATACTATTCATTTTCCAAGCAGACGTCAAAAGATACTCTTTAATAGTGGAAACTGAGGGTTACACAGTAAGGTTCAGACTTCAGCAGGAATCCTTGTTGTCAAGTAAAAGTTTAACCTAGCAGAAGCAAATGAGACCCAGATGTCCTCACCTTTTTTTTTTTTTTAAACCCTGGTGTTCTAAGCATAAAAAAGGAAATAGAAAATAACACAGACCACTCTATTTTAATATTTTTAAGTAGCATAAATCATAATGGTTTGTATACTACACTGTACAAATAATATACTGTTACTTTTGAAAGAAAATGAACTTCTTATAGGGTTTTCTGAAATAGTTACTCCATACAGCTAAGATCTTGACCCTTTAGCCATTGCTACAGCAGATGGAATACAAGCTTTGAGGTTCCAAGTCTTCCAGTTGTGCCTGTTTCTGTTGCCACTGAGGGATGAGCCTCTCAGAGCCCTGTCGTGGCCCTGTCCATCTCCTGCGCCAGGAAACACAGGTTCCGCAGGTGGACGCGTGCCGATGAGTACAGCTTCTGTACTTTGCTTTCTACAAGCCTCCTTCCCCTTTAAGAGAACTTGCGCTTCTTCATGGCTTCCGCCTTGACCGCCAAGCTCTTGGCACAGATGGTCAGGACCACAATGAGAACGCCCACCACAAATGTCACCAGGGGCCAGAGGAAGCAATGCAGGAGGACAATCTCATCATGAGTGCGATGCAGAAGCACATCATCTGGTCTGCAAGACAATGGAGAATAAGAAAGAAAGGGCAGTCAAATGCCTTGGCACTGAAAAACTCTTTACAACCTAAAGCCAAACTTGCTTTCCATAACCATTATTGAAAGTAAAGGCTGCACTCTGACTATAAACACTGTATTTTTGTGCTTCAAACCCATTACAGAAAGTTTTGAGCTCTTGAGTCAAGTAATTGGTGCAAATTTATGTATTAATTATAATTTACATGTTACAAAGTGTCAAAAATGTATCTCTTATGCTATGATTTTTCTTCATTCTAAGTTACTTAATGTATTCCACTTTCTCATTCATCCTCTAATGTCCATTGGTCAAGGGGCTTGAATCAGTCAAAAAATTACTGATGGGTGAGCATTCTCCAACAAATCTGAACTAGACCTCAGCTCATAGGTGTGGCCCAAATGATCTTAATTCAGATAAAAAAAAAAAAAGGTCAGTTAAAGCCACTGCTTGAATTTAGTCAGAAAGACAGCTGGTGTAATTCTCAGGGCAACTCAGCTTCACTATGTAAGCTACAGGTTTTTATTAATAAGCAGACAATGGCTGAATGAGTGCCTTTTTCCATGCTTCTGGGTGAAATTAGCCGTCATTTTAAAACACTGACCACTTTCTTAATAAATCTTGCAAAGTCCTAGCAATAGATTTCTGTCTTGTCAATGTGAGGCTCTATTTTTCAATTCCTGCATTGGTCCCATTCACAGAAAGTGAAGATGAGATGTGCTCCACAAGCCATGATCTCTAATCTTCGGCCATTAGAAAGAGATCCTGGAAATCTAACTTTTTTCTTTTTTTTTTTTTTTTTTGAGATGGAGTCTCACTCTGTCACCTAGGCTGGAGCGCAGTGGTGCCATCTTGGCTCACTGCAAGCTCCGCCTCCTGGGTTCATGCCATTCTCCTGCCTCAGCCTCCTGAGTAGCTGGGACTACAGGCGCCCGCCACCACGTCCAGCTAATTTTTTTGTATTTTTAGTAGAGACGGGGTTTCACCATGTTAGCCCGGATGGTCTCGATCTCCTGACCTCGTGATCCGCCCTCCTCGGCCTCCCAAAGTGCTGGCATTACAGGCGTGAGTCACCGCACCCGGCCGGAATTTTAACTTTTTAATACAAGAGGTTTACATTTTGTAAGATATTTCCGTTTCATCCACAAGGTTTGCCCTGCTACACTAGAGTAGCTATGTTTCCTCCAGGAAAAAAATGAAAATAATGCAGAATAATGAGTCCAACTGCCCTTAAGAACATCAAAGCCTTCAGAGCACAAGGGCAGTGCATCTAACACAGAAATGCATTCCTGAAAATCACTCATTAGTCACAGCTCTCATAATTCAGAACCCATTTTCCCTGAAGATTGACAAAGGGTGTTGGGTATTTCTTTTTACTTATAGTGGAGCTATCATGTGCCATTAACATAAATAGTTTTACAGACTGGCTTTGAAATTACAAAATCCTTGCATTTTTTCCTTTGATGCACAGTGTAATTTCAAATTTTGCACATAATACAAGATTTCTATTGATGTTTTATTTCATAGTATTTCAAATAAAATTTATATTAAGTAAACGCAGTCATTTTAACAATTAGGCAACAATCATCCCAGCTTTCAGAAATTGCCTTTTTTTGGAATTCTTATAGCACGAAATTATCTCCAAGACTTGTGCTACCATTAGTATATGTGTATACATTGATGTATATATTCTTTTCTTCTGTAAGGCCCATTAGGGCTATGACATTGTCATTGCTGCTATTCTACAAATAGATGTTGCTACTGAGAAAGAGGAGCCTGCCTCTGTTGCAGCCTTATTATCCATGCAAATTTTCAAGAAACTTCATGCTTGTCTAAAAAGTCTAAAAAAGTCAAGGCTGAGGTCTAAAAAAAGAGTCAGGACACAGGATAGAAAGAATCATATTTAAGAGTCTGAAATCCCCATCCCAGCACTGCCGTGATTCTTTTCCCAGGTACAGTGCTCATAGCTGTCAAAAACCTCTCCCTAAGTGTGAGGGAAGGTAAAAGCTGTCTCTCAGGTTGCTCTTTCCTTCTTTCTGTGAAGGACTATTATGCTCCTCCATAATCTACTGATACAAAAATGAGTCTTAAATTCTTCATCAAAATGGCTAAGGGTGCACAACAATGTGAATTTTACTTAGTATCACTGAAGTGTACATTTTAAAATGGTTAAGATGGCTGGGCGTAGTGGCTCATGCCTGTAATCCCAGCACTTTGGGAGACAGAGGCGGGCAGGATGCTTGAGATGAGGAGTTCAAGACCAGCCTGGGCAACATAGCGAAACCCTGTCTCTACAAAAAACTACATGCCTGTAGACCTAGTTATTTGGGAGGCTGAGGTGGGAGATCTCTCGAGCCCAGGAGGTCGAGGCTGCAGTGAGCCACGATCAAGCTGCTGCACTCCAGCTTGGGTGACAGAGTGACACCCTGCCTCCAAAAGAAAAAAAAATGGTTTTGATGTTAAAAAAAAGAAAAAGGATTCAGGGTGAGGGACTTGGATTTTTTAACATTATTTTAATAAATGTGCATGTAATTTCCATAAGTAATATGTTTTTGCAACTAATTTTCTAGTAAAATGCTTCAGCGTGGATCCTCGTTTGTATTCATACTCCAGTCACTCTTAACTGATGTTGAATGCTTTCACAATATTGTGCAATTGAGCCAGAAAAATAGCCCAGATGACAGTGGTGGGAATCATACATATTTTCTGAAACACAGTTTGAAGAACATGTACCAAAAAAGAATGTGAGTAAAAAGAAGAGGAGGAGAGAAAAATAATAACTGGAAAATGCTGGACCCAGATATTTGTTTTATTCAGAAACTTCTTGGCATTCCACCTCCTACCAGAGCGCTTGGAGTAAAACTTTATTTTAATATCTTAAATGACAAAACAACATCAGTCCCTCCGAGTTAGCTATACTGAATTTGTAATTACTTCAAAAGCGTTCTTTGAGGTGCAAATGTTATATATAAATGTACACATTTCTTTAAAAATAATTCATGTCCGTTTCCACTTCCTACAGCTCTAAGGTGCTCCATAATCTCCTTCAACAGGAAAATCATTTCTCTGCACAGTAATGCTCACGCTTATCATTCAGTTTTTTGATTTAGTGAGATTATCTCTAAATTGCTTCTTGTGTCCTAATTAAAGTCTAGCTCATTCAAACTGGGCTTGTAGTGCCTTAATTGAAGGCACTCCCCTGTCTCAGTTTCCTCCAATTTTATCAGGCAGGCAGTTTTCAGATTGTTTAGCCAAAAACTATTTGCAAAGGGGTTTGGGCTTAGAATTCAATTTGCCGTAATTATATGGTAGGGAATGAACTACAATTTCTTTATAAATAATCACTGTTTGCCACATGTGGCAAACTGGATAAATGGCATGACGGGAGCTGACATAATAAAACCAGGATGGTGACAAGAATATGTGGACAATAAGCAAAAAAGGGGTAATTACTCTATATCTAGGGACTTCAAAAAAGCAAGCAAGAGATTTCTCTTGGAGTATGCAGGAACACAAATGAAAAACACTTTTAAGCCCTGGGTCAGGGCTACAAAAGAAGAGTAAATACTGTGGGTACCCATAGAAAAACTTCCCTAAGCACTGGCACTACCCTGAGTCAAGGTTTGAAAATATGTGGTGATAATAATGACAGTCAGCATTTATTATGTGCTTTCTATCCTCCCGGTGCTGTGGTAGGACATTCAGACTCATTTGATCCTTAAAATGACCCTTTGCTCAAGTAATTTTTAATTTTCACTTTATAATGGAAGAAACTGAGGTAAAAAAGATTAGTTTCCCCAGGATTACACAATTTAAAATAATGACATGATTTGAAACCCTGTCTGTAAGATTTTTTAAATTGTACTATTTATTTACCCTTAAGCCAGCTTTTCTCAAATTTGAATCACTTAACGGTGCTTGTTGAAGTACAGTTCCCTGGTTTTCAACCCTTGATTTACTATAATCAGCATCTGAGTTTGTGGGATCCAGAAATCTGCATTTTGGAGAAGCTCTGAGATGATTCTTATGTGCACTTCGGTTTAAGAAGCATTGTGTAAAGTTCTAATAGTTAAAAAAATGAAATATGAAATGCAATGCTACTTAGCTAGCTATTTCCCAAACTGCCTAATTGACACTTATGTTCAGGTCATTTTCTTTTTTTCTTTTTTTTTTTTTGAGACGGAATCTCGCTCTGTCACCCAGGCTGGAGTGCAGTGGCACGATCTTGGCTCACTGCAACCTCCGCCTCCTGGGTTCAAGCGATTCTCCTGCCTCAGCCTCCTGGGTAGCTGGGACTACAGGCGCCTGCCACCACACCCCACTAATTTTTGTACTTTTAGTAGAGATGGGGTTTCACCATATTTGGCCAGGCTGGTCTTGAACTCCTGACCTTGTGATCCACCCGCCTCAGCCTCCCAAAGTGCTGGGATTACAGACGTGAGCCACCCCGCCTGGCCTGTTCAGGTCATTTTCATGATCTCTACATATTTTTGTGTAGAGATGGGGTTTTACTATGTTGCCCAGGCTGGTCTTGAACTCTTGAGCTTAAGCAATCCGCCTGCCTCGGCCCCCCAAACTACTGGGATTATGGGCGTGAGCCACTGCGCCCAGCTAAAAATGCTTTTTAAATATCAAATGCATCAGCCTAGTTTTTGACAATGGCTGAAGAGCAAATCGTTCAAGACTCAAATCACTGAGGTGCCTGAAGTGTCCTATGTTTCTGGGTGAGGGTGTCCCATCAGGTTAGATTCCTAACATGGAGGTGGCACAATGATTTTTTTATAATGAAAACCAAAGAAGACCTGACATGTGATCTTTCCCAGATAACTTTGCTTGAGGCTGGGTTTCAGAGAGCCTCAGAAAGTCTTCTACAGAAATGTCAAGTGTATAAACAAATCTTTAAATGAGATGCCACAAGTGAAAGAGGTGCCTATGTCATAGGTTTTCAGGCAAAAGTTACTGACCACGATATGTAATCTAGAAAGCCTTGATGCGAGTATTATTCAGTGTTTTGTTTTGTTTTTGTTTTTTTGAGATGGGGTCTTGCTCTGTCGCCCAGGCTGAAGTGCAATGGCCCGATCTCGGCTCACTGCAAGCTCTGCCTCCTGAGTTTACGCCATTCTCCTGCCTCAGCCTCCCGAGTAGCTGGGACTACAGGCGCCCACCACCACACCTGGCTAATTTTTTTTGTGTTTTTAGTAGAGACGGGGTTTCACTGTGTTAGCCAGGATGGTCTTGATCTCCTGACCTTGTGATCTGCCCACCTCGGCCTCTCTAAGTGCTGGGATTACAGGCATGAGCCACCACACCTGGCCTCAATGTTTTTTGTTTTTTTGGCAAAACTCCATGCTATGGGATTTCTGGAAAGAGATTGTATTAAAACACAACCCATGAAAATATCTGACTTGATCTATTGATTCATGACTTTTAAAAGATTTCCAAGATGTTTTCTACTGAAAGATGTTAACAATTAACTGAGAAAAGTGTTGGATTTGGTTTTGGCATAACTGAGCTGATCTTACTGAGAGTAATTAGCCAGTGTGTCTAGTTGTTGTTTGAGGCAATCGTAAGACCTTGCCAAGAGAGCAGCAGAGCGTGCTTGTCTTCCTATGCAATCACAGGAAGGCAACCTAAAAGCTATATCAAGTTATGTTATAAATTATAGTGGGACTACAGAGACCAGAACACAGAGACCCTTTGTAGTATTCTTTTTTTTTTTGAGACGGAGTTTTGCTCTTGTCGCCCAGGCTGGAGTGCAGTGGCACGATCTCGGCTCACTGCAGCCTCTGCCTCCTGGGTTCAAGCGATTCTCCTGCCTCAGCCTCCTGAGTAGCTGGGATTACAGGCGTGTGCCACCACATCCGGCTAATTTTTGTACGTTTAGTAGAGACAAGGTTTTGTCACGTTGGCCAGGCTGGTCTCAAACTCCTGATTTCAACTGATCCCCTTGCCTCAGCCTCCCAAATTGCTGGGATTACAGGCATGCCCTGCCGCACCCAGCCTTTGCAATATTTTTTTTTTTTTTTTCTGAGATGGAGTCTCGCTCTGTTGCCCAGGCTGGACTGCAGTGGCGCGATCTCGGCTCACCTTTGCAGTATTCTTTACATTGAACTGCTCTGTTGTGGGGATCCACTCAGAACTCCAGCATTGGTTTCAAGATTATCTTAAGCTGAAGACATTTTAGATTCAACAAGTGCTAAACAAAGCTTTCTTGGATCTTCCCTTATCTGACTAAAAGCAGTAGCTTCTGAGATTTGAGGCTACTGTAAATCCCTTCTCCAGGGGAATTTTGTGGCCCTGAGGGAGACAGAAAGACCACTAATACTCATAAAGAAAAACATTACCACTAACTTGTCCTCCTAAAAAGCCATTTGTCCTTCCCATAGGAAACTTTTCTTCCTCTCCCTTTTCCCTACTAAGTTAGGTAGACAAGCCCTGAGTCTAAACACTTCTTATATACTACTGTGAAGCCCCATGCTCATAAAAATGTTAACATTGATAAAATGTGTATGCTTTTTCTCTGGTTAATTTACCTTTTGTCAGTTTAATTCACAGGCCCCAGCCACTAAACCTGAAATGTAAAGGAAAAGTATTTTGTTTGTTTGTTTTTGTCCCCTACAGTATCATGAGCCAATTTTTGCCCACTGGGGTCTACCAATGATATTGTGATAAGGGCTTTTAAAAGCTTGGGAGGTGGCCATGCACAGTGGTTCATGCCTGTAATCCCAGCACTTTGGGAGGTCGAGGAGGGAGGACTGCTTGAGCCCAGACCAAGACCAGCCTGGGCAACATAGGGAGACCCTGTCTCTACAAAATATAAAAAAATTCGATGGGCGTGGTGGCATACGCCTGTAGTCTTGGCTATTTAGGGGCTGAGGTGAAAGTATCGCTTGAGCCTAGGAGGTTGAGGCTGCAGTGGGCCTACAGTGAGCCAAGATTGCACCACGGCATTCCAGCCTGGGCGACAGACTGAGACCTTCTCCAAAAAAAAAAGATGAAAAAGAAAAAGGCTAGGGAGGTATTATAACAAGATTATGGTTTGCTCCACAGATGCTTCCTATCTATGAACGAAAGGCTGATTATAGATGTATGAATGTTATAAACAGCCTTACATTTTCCTTAGCTGTTTTCTCAAAGTAGGTTAATTTTAAGTACTAATGTTTAATTGTACAAGAGTTGCTGCCCATCAAGCTTGCCTATTCTTCATGGAGAAAATTAAATCAAGCCCCAAACTTGCAGTTTTTGGAGAGAAAAATTTGCATTCAGTTTTGGCAGGATATCCAGAAAACTGGCAGGTATGTTATTTTGGAGAAATAAAGTGTTATATATGTATCTCAGGTACAGCAAGGAAAAAAATAATTCAGTAGCACTAGACCCATGATTAGGACTACAAATAGAAGTTATACCCCAAACTTATCCCACAAACTATCATTTAACAGCATTAAATTCTTACGGTAGCTGGGTTTGGCAAATGTTTTCCTACTGATTAAGATGACCGTCCCTTCAGATGCAGCCCAGTGAAGTAATTGTCTCAACCAAGTCTCCTAAAGTAGAGGCCTGGGGAAACCGTCGCCACTCTGTGCTCCCAGAGTAATAGACTTTTTAAAAGGTTTTACTCACACTGTGTGGTAATTATTTTTTATCCATCTGTCGGTTTTCCCAATGTGATTCTTAAAACCCTGAGATCGGGGGCCTATTAAGGATAACCCCTGCCGGAGATGCTTCCTGAGTTCTCAGAAATAAAGAGGGGTAATCATCAAGACCTGCAAACCAGAAGGATGCTTATGACTTTCTGTCTTTTTTAAAAAGGCAAATCAACGAATGAATTTTATTCTAAAGTCAGCTTGGCACAAAAAGGCTTTATTAATTAGAAATCCTTTGTTGCTCTTCCATTGAAAATACAACAGAAAGAGAATTTTCAACCTAGTTAGATATTCTCTAAGATCAGATCTAAGAAACTGCATTAAATTTACATTAAATCCTTTTCCTCTTCCATCGACCTCCTTGAGCTGCTCAGGAACCTGGATCAGTTCAACGTTATCTCCACACCAGAGAGGAGGACTTTCAATTCATTGATTTCATCAGAAGTGCAGGATTTTGAAAACTAGCTGACAGCCTTGTTCCAGAAATTCCTGAGAGGTTTCCTTTAAGAATTGCTGTTCTTCAGAGTAATTTGGTCTGTGGTTTCTCTGAGTTACCAAGTTATTTATTTCATAGAGGACTATAAGTGTTTTTCTGTCCAAACATTTAAACTTAAGGTTTAAGCAGAAATAAACTGGAGACAAGAAGACATTTACATTCTTCATTTGAGACAGATTATTCTTATAATAGTTCTCACCTTGTTAACCTACTTTGTAGTTCCAAATTTGATGTGAAAGTTCAATAGTTTAAATTCGTATGGGAGAGATGAATTATTGATTCAATAAATTGTGTTGGGACAATACATGCCATTTGGAGAAAAAAACAGCGGCTCCTCATTTTATTCTCCCCACACTTACCAAAAAATCCAGATGGATGAGAACCTTAACTGTATAAAAACAAACTATGAATGCTCTAGAAAAATAACTTCGTTAAAAAAAAAAAAAAAAAGGCCAGGCATGCTGGCTCACGCCTGTAATCCCAGCACTTTGGGAGGCCAAGGCGGGCGGATCAAGAGGTCAGGGGGTCAAGACCATCCTGGCTAACATAGTGAAACCTCGTCTCTACTAAAAATACAAAAAATTAGATGGGTGTGGTGGCGGCCACCTGTAGTCCCAGCTACTCGGGAGGCTGAGGCAGGAGAATGGCGTGAACTTGGGAGGTGGAGCTTGCAGTGAGCCAAGATTGCGCCACTGCACTCCAGCCTGGGCGACAGAGCGAGACTCTGTCTCAAAAATAAATAAATAAATAAATAAAAACCCTTGGAGTTTCCTCATTTGTAAAATGGGAAATAAAACCCTCATTAAGAAGATCAAATGAGGGTATGTATGGGAAAAGTTTTTTTTTTTTTTTTTTTTTTTCTTTTTTGAGACAAGGTCTCACTCTGTCGCCCAGGCTGGAGTGCTTAACCTCCTGGGCTCAAGCAATCCTCTCACCTCAGCCTCCCTAGTAGCTGGGACTACAGGTGCCCACCATCACGCTCAGCTAATTTTTACAATTTTTTGTAGAGACAGGATCTCATTATGTTACCCAGGCCAGTCTCGAACTCTGGACTCAAGCAATCCTCCAACTTTGGGCTCCCAAAGCACTGGGATTACAGATATGAGCGACCATACTCAGCTGGGAAGCAGTTTTCTACAAAACCCTACACAGCATAGGTGACCTCAAATCTAGTCCAAGTCCAACTTTTCCAACCTTGAAGAAATGAATTTGACAACCCCAAGAGTATGATACAGAACCAGAACCTTTTAAAATTTGTAGTATTTTTTTTTTTTTTTTTGAGACGGAGTCTCGCTACGTCGCCCAGGCTGGAGTGCAGTGGCGCTATCTCAGCTCACTGGAAGCTCCCCTCCCAGGTTCACACCATTCTCCTGCCTCAGCCTCCCGCTGGGACTACAGGTGCCTGCCACCACGCCCGGCTAATTTTTTGTATTTTTAGTAGAGACGGGGTTTCACCGTGTTAGCCAGGATGGTCTCGATCTCTTGACCTCATGATCCGCCCGCCTCGGCCTCCCAAAGTGCTGGGATTACAGGTGTGAGCCACTGCGCCTGGCAATCTGTAGTATTTTCAAAGCTCAAAGTTGAAGAAAAGCTCATATTCATTGTAAAAGTCAATTACACTTAGAACTATCTGCAAATTACTGCCTGTATCTATTTCCTATTGCTGCTCTAGTAGCTTAAAGCAACACAGATGTAGTTTCTTACAGTTCTGGAGGTCAGAGGTTTGCAATCTGTTTCACTGGACTAAAATGAAGGTGTCAGCAGGGCTGTGTTCCTTCTGGAGGTTCTAGGAGAGAATCTGTTTCCTTGCCTTTCCCAGCATCCTTTCCTGCATTCTTTGGCTCATGGCCCCCTCCCTGGCATCACTCTAATCTCCTTTCCCTGATCACATCCCCTACTACTCTCTCTGATCTCATCTCCCCCTTATAAGTATCCCATGATTGCATTTGGGGCACACTCAGGCAATCCAGTATAATTTCCCCATCTCAAAATCCTTAATCACATCTGCAAAGTTCCTTTTATCATACAAGGTAACATGGTAGCAAAGTAAAATAACATAAATCCATCGGGATTATGGTGTGGACATCTTTGGGGGCCACTATTCAGACAGCCACAGTACCATAAACCGCTCTCCTATACTGTAATCAGTTCCTTACTAGCACAAGTTTTCTATCCCCTTTCCCAGTTAGTCATTCAGAATTAAATCATCAACAGAAGTATTTAAAAATAACCTAGGGAATAAACTGTTTTCTATTAATTCTATTTTATAACTCAGATCTACAATCTGAGTTATAAGATTTACTTTTTTCATTCTTTTTTCAGTGTTTGCCTTTTATGACAGGCATTTACATACAAGACACACCTGCCCAAAGATTAGCACACGTTATGAAATACTTCTCTTTCCTTCATCCTTTTCCTACATTGTGCCTTTGCCTAGGTAGATCTCCACTATTTCCACCACTATCTGCTGTTCCTAACCACAGCATTAATAACACTTTGCAATTTTAATATCCATCCTCCCTAAGTGCCTCCTTACTTTTTATAGAATATCCTTTTTGTCTTTGTAATACATCTTTGATATTTCCTTTTCAACTTTATTTTTTATCAAATGTGCCCAAAGATTCTTGGTTCTTCTTTACTCAGTTCTTTTATGATACAATGTCACTAGCAATTCTAAACTGCATATTCACTTTAGCCCCAATCCTATGCCACACCATGTTTGACTTTCCTAAAGTTTTTGTTCATTAACTATCCTTTGAATATTTTTTTTTAATTCTGAATTTTAAAATTGAAGTAGAATTTCTGCAAAGAGAAATTCAGAGGTAACAAGTGCATGGTTTAATCAGTTCTTCTTGTTGTTTTGATACTGCTGATTTCTGATCCTTTCACTTCTATTTTATAAAAACATTTATCCAACCCATTCTATTCTTTAAAACCCACATTCTTCCTTACAATGATTTCTCTCATATTTGAAGAGCAATACTGTATTATTAAATCAGATTTCATCCAGAAACGGGGAAATTTAAGGGTGAGCCATTTTGTTTCCAAAGAAAGTCTCTCAGAACTCATTTTCTATCTCAGCGATGCCTAGTGCTAAAGAAACATCCTCAGAAAATGGAAATGTTGATTTAGGATGTTAATGCTGAAAATATCTTTCTTTTTTAGAATTCCTTAAAGGAATTAATTCTTAAACATCAAAAGGTGCTTGCTGTGATATAGCATGTCTGATAATATAGGGCTACACAAGGGACTTCTCAAGCAAGCCCGGGCTGGATAGGACTAAAAATCAAAGGACTAATTATATCAGGACATCCCATATTCCCTTCACTGATTAAGACAAAACAATGGGGCCCCTTATTTTACTTTGTGAAGCCAAATTAACAAAGCTGAAATAGAAGTTCTCCTTATAAGAAAGGCTACAAACACTGGAAGGATTAGTCACAGTGAGCAAAAATCACCGATGAACCCAAAGTATGCATATGAGCAGGGATTCCATTGGGTATCTATAAGGCTGGCAAGAGCTTTAGAATTTGGTTCTCAAGGAAATGAGGTGGGTAAGGAATCCCCCCAAATGTCAATGTATCTTCTTACCATCTCAACAATCCTGGGTACAATGTGCACAGATGAAATATGGCATTTAAAAGGAGGTCAAGAAACATTTTCCTCATGATTTTTGATATAAAATCAAGATGGCAACAAACTCTGGAAGGATTAATCACGGAGCAAAGTTAGCACGCGCCTTTGTCTCAAAATCTTCAAAATCTTTTAAATGAAATAAGATTATATCCAAGGGCCTAAAAGCAGGTGTCTTCTAGGTTTGTCCAAGACCATAATTCTAAAATCCTGGAATCTGCTTCATTGCTTCAGGTGAATGAAGTCATAGGCTACACCAAGCATAGTGACTGCACACATATAAAAAGCTGCTTTTTGAAAGATCACTTTAACAACCACATTTTGTATCATTTCCCTAAGCTGAATCATGTTCTCAGCCCTCGCTCCAGGCAAAGAGGACACAGAAAAGAGATATAATCACAGATCACACACTTGCAACGTGGGTGTGAGAAACCGTTTCCAGGGAGAAAATGACAAACATACTGATGCACCCAAAATATGCATATGAGCAGGGATTCCATTGGGTGTCTGTAAGGCTGGCAAGAGCTTTAGAATTTGGTTCTCAAGGAAATGAGGTGGGTAAGGAATCCCCCCAAATGCCAATGTATCTTCTTACCATCTCAACAGTCCTGGGTATGATGTGCACAGACAAAATAAGGCATTTAAAAGGAAGTCAAGGCACATTTTCCCCATGAATTTTGATATAAAATCAAGATGGCTTCTTAGATAGGACAATTGAAGTGGGGCATAGCAACACGGGCTAGCTGAGTCTCCCATGGCTCAACCACAAATGCCCCCATAAAGAATGGTCGGTGGTCTCAGTGAGTTTGTTCAACTCCCAATAACCTGGATTTTTTTCCCAGTATTCCCGCTCCTAGAAGAGCATCACACCCTGCTAAGCTCAAAGTGAGAGCTCAGTAAATGTTAGTGGAATAAGAAAAGACTTCAAAGAAGAAAGTGAAAATCCAGTGCCATAGAGTGTCAGTTAAGCAAATTAAGGTAGCGGGCAGGGAACAAGATCTTAGATTTCATGGAGGTTTTTTCCAAAGGCCACATATATTTGTTTGAAATTGCAAATATCATGGATGTATTTGCATAAACAGGCATGTGTATTTGCTTGTGTTTTTACAGACTGTGCCAACTATTTTCAGATAATTTCCAAGAATGAATGATCATATTTACTACTCATTCTGTCATTACTGTTCTTCTTCCTGCTTCATCTTTTAATCGATCTCTATCTAGCCCAGCCAACCCCAATGTGTGCATAACAACTGTCACAAGCAGTTCCTGTTCCTTCAACTCACCTGCCCCATCCCTGTTTAGGTGCTTTGTCCTCCTTGAGGAGCCTCCAATGCTGCTGCTCCTATACATGTCACAATTTCAGACCCAGCATGCTAGGAACTGCTGCCAGCGCCTGGTTAAGCCAATACTAAATGGGGCCAAACAGGTGAACAGACATTCTGTCTTTCTCCAAACCTCTGAAAAAGATTCTGCAACTCATCTCACAGTAATTTGTTCCCTAATTTACTCTTAGGAAATTGTCGTTAAAGTCTGATTAGGTTAAGTCCAATTCCCTGTAATTAGATCCTCAGTGAAGAAAAATCTACCCATCACCACAATTTATTTTCTTTTCTATAGCTCCAGCATCAGTATTGTACCATTATTTTGGCAGCTCTGGAGAAAGGATTTGAAAAATATATCCTGGGTGAAGGGAAAGTCAGCTGCATGTCTTTCTGAAGAAAGCGCTACCTTCTGTTATAATATCATCATTCTAGAAGATTCCCAATTGTTAACAGCCTATTTCATTAAAGTGTATTACACACCGGTTTTTTTAAATTAAATAATTAGCAGCTTATATATATTTTGCTATTGCTTGTAGGAAGACAGAAATAGGCTAGCATTTCTATCAAGGCTAGCAATGAATCATTCATCCTAACCCCTAAATTATATAGTAAAGAATACTTTACTATACATTCAATTTTTACATTCAATTTTGTTGTAGTCTGTCAAGCAATATCTCTCAGTTAAAATGCATTAAACATCTTGAAATGCCTTTGCAAAGTAAAATTAGCTAAATTAATTTTGAGGCTCTTTTCCTAAATGAAGGATTACAAATATGTTTGGAGAACAAAAATACTATACAGAAATATGCATAACAATTAAAGTGGTGACTTACAGTTCAACAATAGAATTTTAAAACTTGAGTAATGAAAAAGACCCTATCAGTCTTCAAGTTTCTCTTAGATGTGCCAGCAGCTTAACTTTATCCTGGTAGCATGTGATATTCAAAATTCAAGAAAACACATGTAAATAACTGTCAGATTGGTGGAATAAACATGGTAAAGAATTTGAAAATCACTAAAAAGTATAGCCACAGGTATTCCTACAGAAACCTGTTTTCTGCTCTTTCACCTTGATACTAGCATTAATGTCCCAGATAGGTGCCCCTCCTTCATCTGGGGTCCCATAGTGAAACTGACATGGAGCAGAGCTGCACACGACCCAAGACAGACCTAGACAGGAAATAAACATTGGTTGTTACAAGCTTCTGAGATTTTCAGGTTGTTACCACAGCCTAATTTAGCCTAAGCTCATTGACACACACCAGGAAGGGCTGAGGATCCAATGGTTTCACTAAGGAAACAGCCATGATGGTCAAAAATAATCTTAATCTAAAGCACAAAAAAGTTTAGAGATGTTTATTTGGGCATTTTAAAAGACTTTCTTGGTACTCAGCTCTCTTCCATTCAGCCATGTGATATTTGCAGAACAACTATGATGTAGCAGGGACCAGGGCCATATTTGTGTGTTGGCTCTCACTAGTCAGCTGTAAATCCGAGGGCAGGAGCACCATTTTCCCATGTTTATATTCCCATTACCCAGAATAATGCTTGGCATGTGCTCTAGGTGCTCATAAATGTTTGTTGTTGGCTTACTGTTGAAATCCATTTCAAAATGCAATGGACATTTGTACAAAGTGCAGAGGTAATATTAAAGAAGGAGAACTGAAGTTTGCCTGGGAAAATAAAAAGGAAGTATCTTTTCAGCAGACATGAAAGAACAGATTAGAGTTTGGTGAAAAAATGGGGAAAGAATTTCTTGGTAGAAGATACAGCACAAATGCTTTGGTCTGGCATTTCAGATTATTTTGCCACCAACAACGCACTTTAAAAAATGTTATAATAGCAATCTTATTAATTAGATTTAATACAGTCCCTTATGTTATCCTAACCCAATATGGACTAGAATCCTGGCTGATGTTAGCAGCACCAGAGCAGAATGCTTAAGAGAACAGACTCTGTGAATCTAATTAATGCCACTAAATTGTGAGTCTAATTAATGCCACTAAATTGTGCACTTTACCACAATTTTTAAAGATTCACCATGGTTAGTTCTGTAATCTCAGTGTGGAGGTAGACCATATTGTCCAAGTTTTACAGAAGAGGCTTCTGGAACTAAGAGGTTTGAATCCTGGCTCTGTCACTTGCCAGCTATGTGATTTGGTCATATTGCTTAACCTCTGTGTTCCAGTTCCCTCATGTATAAAATGAGGATTGTGTTAATAATGCCTTGTAGGGGTGTTGTGCAGATTCAATGAGTTAATATGTAAAAAACATTTAAATAGTTTCTGGTACAGAGGCAGCATGGTAAACAGGTATCGGCTATTATGAAAGGCCAAAGGAAGATCAGCAGTGAAATAGGTCTATGTCCTAGTCCTTTTCAGCATTTTTATCGATAACTTGGATGAGAAAAATCAAAGCCATTTTGACTTACAATTAAGATAGAATTATGATGGAAGATATAACAAATATGATGGGTACCATAATCAAGAGTCAAAATAATCATGAGACTGGAACAATCGGTCAAAAGCAACAAGATGTAGTCACATATAGGAATAAATTTTAAATTCTTGCGTATTTAAATGCTACACAAATCTCAACAGTTTAAGAATGGAGGGAACCTGCTTTAATAAAGAGCAGCATGTATAAATCAAATGTTGGGAGAGCAAATTTAATTAAGTATAAGCTCCATATGAATCAATAGTGTGCTGTAGCTGCCAAAAAAGCTCATGCCATGTCGTTAACTGAGTTTCAGTCTCTGGATTTATCAAGGGTGGTAGAAATGTTCTGCCTTCCTCTGCACTGGCCAGCTCAGGGCACAGTAAGAAAAGCATCCCAAATGATGAGAACAAATCTGTTCCCAACAGTGATGGCAATATGAACTTGGTGACACCCACAGTCTGAAGGTCAAGTACTCAGGTGCAGATCCTGACACTGCTCCTCCCTAGCCATGTGATCTTAAAGCCTCTGTTGTCTCTTCTGTAAAACTTGGACAATATGGTCTACCTCCACACTGAGATTATAGAACTAACCACAGTGAATCTTTAAAAATTGTGGTAAAGTATACAACTGAGTGGCATTAATTAGACTCACAATTTAGTGGCATTAATTAGATTCACATAATTTATTTCCAAAATCTTTTTTTTTGAGACAGAGTCTCGCTCTGTCACCCAGGCTAGAGTGCAGTGGTGCGATCTCAGCTCACTGCAATCTCTGCCTCCCGGGTTCAAGCAATTCTCCTGCCTCAGCCTCCTGAGTAGCTGGGATTACAGGCATGCACCACCACGCCTGGCTAATTTTTGTATTTTTGGTAGAGATGGGGTTTCACCATGTTGGTCAGGCTGGTCTCGAACTCTTGACCTCATGATCTGCCTGCCTCAGCCTCCCAAAGTGCTGGGATTACAAGTGTGAGCCACCGCACCCAGCCCAAAACTTAAATCTCACCAGACAGAAACTCTCTAGCCATTGAGCAATAGCTCCCCACTTTCCACTTCCCTCAGTCCCTGATAAACTTAATATACTTTCTGTCTCTATGAATTTGCCTATTTTAGGTATTTCCCAGGATTAATTTCTTGACAACTAAAAACGTTTAAAAATGGAGTGGGTTTCTTCAGGAGGAGGTGATGTCCACTGTCACAAGAGTCGTTCAAGTAGAGAACAGAAAACACTTCAAAAAATTATGTGGTGGGGATTCATTTTGGGTTGCAGCAAATGAATGAAAAGTGTCTCCCAGATTTGACAGTCTATGAGTCTGTGAACTCCACAATACATTTGACATGTGTTTCCGGTGACTTCTAGCCCCATTTTATCTAAGATGAAACTGAGGCAAGAGCTCTTTGATAAGTAGCCCAAGGTCAATCACTAAGTCACGAAGAGAGCCATGGATAGAAATGGAGTGGAGTCTCCTGACGCACAGCCCTGCCCTGCATTCCACCATCTGATGATGCTGCACTCTATGACCTACTTGTCCTACGGTTCTTGTATTTTTCCTCCCAAATTCCCTCAGGGCTTTGTTTGAAGGCTGCATAAAATATCTTAAATGAAAAGTGATTTAATAACATCAAATTCTTAACTTTAATGCCACGATGATAAAAGCTGTTAGAAGATGAATTTGCAAGCATGAAAACACTTTGATTAACCATTAGAAAACAGACTCTCAAATGTAGATTTTAAGTAATGTACAGCCATTTGGATGTCAGACTGAGAAAAAACACTGGAATAACTTCCATATATATTCCACAGCATACTGGAGAAGCCACAGCAATCACTGCTTTTTTTAAAAAGTACAGATTTTGGGACCAAAGAAAGCCTTCAACTCTGATGTAATCTCTCTTAATATGGAGACAGACACAAATGTATATGGAAAATACTTGGTTTCGGTAAGATTCCAGATTTACTGTTTTGTTTTTTAAGATACAGGATATATCATTGGGTTTAATGTCTAAAGAAAAAGCCAATATGTTCCTGTAAAAAATAGCCTTAGAACCAGTCTATTCTCTAATGATAAGACTGTAAGAAATACTTCTCAGAGTAGAAGACAAAAATAAGTAATTTTTACCAAATATCAAACACAGTATTTAGTAATTCATTCCAATGTCAACAAAATTTTCCTCTGGAATTTGTTCCAAATCTTAGGTCCCATCTTTATATGCACATTTTCCCCATTTGTATACTAAGAGGTCTGCTAGTAAAAACAAAGTTTTTTCTTTAGTAATTTGCTCTATAAAAAAGCCAAAAGAAAAACTTAGAAGCCAATGGTACAATTAAATTCAACATATAAATATATTAAAATAAATCTTTTTTTGAGCTTGCATCTGTTTTTAGAGCTCAATCTGTTTTTAGAATGCAAAGACGTCCGGAAAATAAACTACAACTGACCAATCATTTTTCACTCTATTGGTTATAAACATATTCAGATGCCTATTTCTAAGCATGTAAGTGTTGTCTGTCACACATAACAAGAAATCCAGAGGTAGCATGGCCAGGGCAGGGGCAGCTATTCCACAAGAGTGCCAGGAAGCTGGCTCTTTTTGCTCCACTCTTACTAATGTGTAGATGTCCACTCTCCTGTTTATCACCTCAAAGCTGCATGATGCCTTTTGCTGTTGTGGCATCAGAAAGCAGGAGGCAGCAGCACTCACATCAGAAAAGCAAAGGCTTTCCCAGAACATTCCAGTTAATGGTGCCTCCAAAACAGTTACCCAGGACAGAAAGCCAGAACTGGATCCAATTCCATCCAGTTCTTAACCTCAACCCCTATCAAGCATCATGTACTTCTCTAAATCTGCAGATTCCACTTCCTTCAAGTCCTATGTCCATTCCTCCTTTTCTTCCTCCACTAATTCTACCTTTGTCCAAGCTCCTACCATCCCTTGTCTAGACTGGTACAACAGTCTCCAAATTGTTCATGGATCCTCCAGCTTTGGCTTCTATCAATCTACCCTCCATGCTGCCACTAGACTCATCTTTCTAAAACTTAAATGTGACTGTCACTCCTCCACTGCCCTTAAGACAAATTTAAACCCCTTAGCATGACATACACGCACAGTATTATCTATTTCAACCTCTTCAGTTCATCTACCACTTTCTTTTTTCTTTTTTTAGACAGGGTCTCCCTATGCTGCCCAGGCTAGCCTTAAACTCCTGGACTCAAATGATCCTCCCATCTCAGCCTCCCAAGTAGTGGGGACTACAGGTATATGCCACTGTTCCCAGCTTGAGATGGTAGCATTTTTATGTGTAAAATTTAGGACACTAAATTACAAAAAGAGTAACAACCATGATACCAGAGTGATAAGCTATTCTGTGGCGGCAGGAAGATCTCTGTAGCCCCTGAAATGGGCTTGCTTCACGGAGAGGAAATAGACATTTACAAAAGTGAATTTTCCAAATAATTAAAGCTTAAATTTTAAGTTGAATAAAAACTAATAAAATATTAAAATATTATTGGTAAAAATCTTCCTAAAAATGCATTACACATTTCTTTGCCTTTTAAGGAGAGTAGGTTGAACCAAATTTAACCTTTTTTGATGACTCAGTGTCATCATTATGAAACTCAATTACCGTTGAGGTAGCAGGGCTGTCTCCCTCTCCATTAAATGGCTCTAGACTGTTAACCATTTATTTCTTTACTAATTGCCTCTCCCTTTCACCATTAGGATTTTATCTAGCATCTTAAGTTGTTGTAATTTTGTACAAGTCTTCAGAACCAGGGAATCATAAAACCATAGAATTTGAGAGTTTGAAGGAATTTTAGAGATCATTTCATCCATCAGTCTATCAAATTTTATAGTTAAGAAAACTAAACCCTAAGTAAGTGAGCAGTCTTTTTCTAATCAGTTGCTTTTCATCTTCTATTTTAATGGCTTTAAAACTGTGTTCTGAAGAAACCACTACTCAATTTGAGCTCAGGCCATTATGTTTATCTTTCTTTAAAATGCTAAGGGTAAACTGGATTTAAAAACATATGCTACAGGATAAACACACTTTGAGTGAACTTAGAAATTAGGATATATCTGTTAGCATCAGGAGTACAACATATTTAACAACAGAATTTCTTCTTTCTTCCTTTTTTTTGTGTTGTTGTTTTACTCATTCATAAAACCCTCATTATTTATTTATTCAACACCTCAGCCTCCAATCAGTAAATAACCAGGCCCAACTTTGTTTCTAACTTAGTTGTTAGAAATCTACAGAGGCAGGGAAGAAAAGCATATGTGTTTACTAAGTATTAGCTATGGTGCAAATGTGTTTCTTACAAAACCAAAACAGAAGCTCTTAAGATGGGTAATGCTATCCTCATTTTACAGGCGAGGAAACCAAGATGGAGAAGCTGCACAATTTATCCAAGGTCGTACAATTAATCAGTGATAGAGGAGAAATGTAAATCCCGATGCTTGATGTCACATGACTGCTGCCCTTAAGGAATTCATAATCTATAACAACAAAAAAGTACATATTCAACTCTCTTAACAGTGTGATAAAAGCAACCATGGCAGTGTGGGACTGCAGAAGAGGAAGTAATGAATTATACCTGAAAAGGTGGGAGAAGGTTACACAGTAACATTTGAGGTGAATCTTAATAATAGTAATAAAAACAATAATAGCAAACACTTTTGTAGGAATTATTGTGGGTTAGGCACATGCCATCTCCTTGATATTATATCCCACTTCTGCAAAGGAAACTGAGGCACAGATAGATTTAAGTAACATATCTAAGACCACGCCACTAGAAAGCGTTTGGTTCTAGAGTTCATTCTAGGACTACTGTGCTGTGCTAATTCCCAGAAGTAAAAAAGGTGAAGGTGTCCCCAGGTGAGGAGAAAGAGACAGGAGCAAAGGCATCAAGGTGTATGGGAAACAGAATGACTCGAGGTGACTGATGCAGCTGGAATAAAAGTTAAAATATGTAAAGCAGACCATATTACCACTCTGCTTAAAACCAACGACTGGCTGCTCACTACATTTTAAGAGAAATCTAAGCCCTGTATAGTTCTTGCTCCACTCTCCCACTCATTCACAGTTCTCCTGACACACTGGCCTTCCAGTACCTAAAACCACCAAGCTCTTTTTTGCTGCAGAACATTGGCACATGGTAGTATCTCATTCTGAAATATTCTCCCCCTAGCTTTTTACCTAGCTAATTCTTGAACATCCTCTGGTCTTGACCTAATTTTAATTTACACAGAAAGGTCTTTGAAATTCCCCATCATGCCGTAATATCTCATAGCAGCATCCTCAGCTTCCCCTTCATAGCACTACCCTACTTTGTAATTATACTACTGTTGTGACTACAGACTATAGGCTCCATGAAGGCAAGGACCGTGTCTGCTATTTTGTTGTTGTTTTCTTGTTGTTTTGTCTTTGGTTTTCCTTGACTGGCACATAATTCAATGGCAGAAGTTTAAGTTGGAATTGGAAGAGCATGGCCTTTATCCTATAGATAAGAAGAAGGCAGAAAAATTTAATCAAGGACTGTGACAAGATCAAAAGGAGGCTTAAACAAAGCAAAACAAAACCTAGCGTGGTGTGGATGACAGACAAGAGAAAGACCAAGGCTGACAGACTAGTTGAGGATGCCTTCAACAAGCCAGGTGAGAGCCTGAATCCAGGCAGTGGTGGAGGAAGTGAATTCAAGAGACTGCACAGGTGGTGTGGCTGGATTTGTTCATTTGACGTGTGTGTTTGTGTAAGCCTGCTCCGTGTACTCTGTGACCTACTATCCAGAGGTATAAAACAAAGTACTAAAAAGTAAACCTGTATAGAAAAACTCTATGCTCTCCAACAAGAGGAAAAGATAAAAAGACTGATCACTCCTTTTGGCCTTTAGATCCAAAGGGAATTGAAGAATGAATAGTTATTTTCAAAGGGACAAGCCCTCTTCAAGGAGAAGCCAGTTAAGGCAAAGATGAAGAAAGGAAATTGTATGAAAAGATTGAGAATACAGAGAAGTTTTCTGGCAATGAAAAGGGGGTTTCAAAGTATACTCGTTAAGGGGGTATAAGTTAGGTTTTGCTGAGAAGGAATAAGCCAGGGAAAGACTGAGAAAAAAAATGAAAACATGATATAGGGAGAATTGTGAACTTACCTGAATAAAAAAGTGTAAAAACAAAATCTACACATTTTGGAAGGAGACTGAGCCTCGAGGTTAAGGGAGGCAAAGAGTGGAAAGGTTATATGGGAGGGCCACAAATGGACTCAACCCTTGGCATGAATTCACCCCAGTGACGCCTCTGCAGAATCCTTCCTGGGTGTAGAGAGGGATGGCCGCACCGAGACTGACTGCCCACGGCAGGCACAGCTGCTTCGGGGCTGCTTCGGCCGCTGCAGACTCAACACTGGAATACAGCTTGCCTCAACAGGACTTAACCAGTGGAAAGCTAAGACTCCTCTAATCTTTGTCTTAGATTTTTAAAATAACACCCTTTTCTTGAAAGTCAAAACTGGACTATTCTCCCTAATTTCCTGCATTTGAGCGAAATCGAAAGGTTTCTTTAAATATAAAGTTCATCTTTTCAAGAGCATCTGGGAGTCCCTACAGTAAGTCTATTTTAATTTCATATTTAGCAGTAGTAAAAAGTGTACTAAGAGTAGATGGCACCAGGGAGCTGCCATTTTTCACACCTCCAAACAGCACTCCTGTTTCCTCTCACATATGTCATGGTAAAAGAGCCAAACTCCGAACGCCTGCCTTCCCAGAGTCGCTGAAAAATCCTGTCTTGAGTGCTGCTGGGCTGTGATAGACCACCCCCGCTTCTATCTACACCCCCACCGTTTGGGAATGGGACAGTGAGATGATGGATAGGGAATGTGTATCCGTTCTGAAGGAGGTATAATGAGCTTAAATTTACTGTACTGAAGTTAACACAACTGCTATAGGTGACATAATAAGAAATTTGTATTTGGTCTCTGCCCCGGTTCCTGGCACAGAACTTGTAAAACCCTTGTAATTTCCTGAGTAGTCGGGGTGAGAGGAGAATCTTCGTTTTTTCATAGTAAGCCCCTTTCAACCATGCCCAAGTTTATACTAGTGAGGTGACTCTTGGAGGATGGGGACCGGTTGTCAGAAGAACCAACCATGTGAATAGAGGATTAGAATTCAGCACCACCTCAGGCTGGGCGCGGTGGCTCACGCCTGTAATCCCAGCACTTTGGGAGGCTGAGGCGGGCGGATCACGAGGTCAGGAGATCGAGACCATCCTGGCTAACACGGTGAAACCCCGTCTCTACTAAAAATACAAAAAATTAGCCGGGTGTGGTGGCGGGCGCCTGTAGTCCCAGCTACTCGGGAGGCTGAGGCAGGAGAATGGTGTGAACCCGGGAGGCGGAGCTTGCAGTGAGCAGAGATCAAGCCACTGCACTCCAGCCTGGGCGACAGAGTGAGACTCCATCTCAAAAAAAAAAAAAAAAAAAAAAAAAGAATTCAGCACCACCTCTCTCTAGCCACCTCTCCAGGCAAGGGAGAGTTGGCTAGAGATCAACTCAACCACCAAGGGCCAATGCTGTAATCAATCGTGCCTATGTAATAGCCATAAAAACCCTAACAACTCCAGAGCTCCTGGGTTGGTGCATACATCAAGGTGCTGGGAAGGTGGTGTGCCTGGAGAGGGCCCCTTGCTCAATGCATCTCTTCCATCTGGCAGTTCCTGAGTTGTGTCCTTTATAATAAACTGGAATAGTAAGTAGTGTTCTGTGAGCCATTCTAGCAAATTATTGAATGCAAGGAGGGAGGATGTGGGAACCCCTGACTTAGAGAAGGTCAGCCAGAAGTACAGGTAGATAGCTGGGACATGCGCTTGACATCTGAAGTGGGGGTCATCTTGTGGGGCTGGACCCTTTAATTTGTGGGATCTGATGCCAACTCCAGAAACAAACTGAACTGTAGGACACCAGCTAGTGTCACCAGAGAACTGAACTGCTTGGTGTGGAAATACCCCACACATTTGGTGTCAGAATTGTTGCGAGAGTACAAAAAAATACTTTTATACTTTTAGTATATAATTTGGTTTAGCTCTTTTTAGGTAGACCTCACACTTCTGGAGGAATAGTCCTTCTTGACTGGGTATTGAGAATATTCAAAATTCATGCCCTGACAGGAGGAGACAACCCTGTCAGGGGGAGGCAGCCCTTACAACACGCAGTTCCCAAGTGGGGAGTGAGAGGACGTTCATCAACATGGTCACCAGCTAGTCAGGACAGCACATGGAAGGGGTGCCTTGTTCACCTCCAACTGCAAGCTCAAGCTCAGGAACGTTCTGAAACCAGTTCCCAGTCCAGGGCAGGAAGCTTCAAGGAAGCACCTGATTCACACAGCAGTGGGTTCAGGCTCAAAGAGTCCCACCTCACAGAAAAAGAAATCTGCGTACTCCTTCAGCATTTTATTTCATTCTGTCTCGTTTTCTTCAGGGCACGTTCCATTTTTACTTTACGATATACATTCCATTTTTCTCTCTCCCTCCAACAGTTTTCATCTGCAGGAGGCTTATTTCTCTATATCCACTCCTCAGTTACTCACCTCCTCCCCAAGCCTTTTTCCAGTCATAGGAAACTTTAATTTTATTTTATTGTGGTAAGAATACTTAAGATGAGATATACCCTCTTCAATTTTTAAGTGTACAATACATTACTGTTGGTGATAGTACAGTATTGTTGTACACAAGTGTTGACTTGTACTGTACAAGTCTGTAGAGCCTATTGATCTTACTTGACTGAAACTTTATGGCCATTGATTAGTAACTTCCGTTACCCCCTCCTCCCAGCCCCTGATAACTACCACCATTCCACTTTTTTAATCTATGAATTTGACTATTTTAGATACTTCATATAAGTGGAATCATACAGTATTTGCCTTTTTGTGTCTGGCTTCTTTCACTTGGTATAATGTCCTCCAGGTTCATCCATGTCGTCACATGTTGCAGAGTTTCCTTCTTTTCAAAGGCTGAACACTTCCATTGTATGTACATACCATATTTTCTTTCTATTTCTTTTCGAGATCGGATCTCGCTATGTGGCCCAGGCTGGACTCCTGGCCCCAAGCAATCCTCCCGCCTCAGCCTCCCCTAGCTGAGACCCCAGGTATCACCATTGCGCCTGGCTTCACATATTCTTTATCCATTCATCTGCTGATGGACATTTAGGTTGTTTCCACATCTTGGCTATTGTGAATACTGCTGTGGTAAAAGGAGGAGTGCTCTTCAGGATCTTGAAGAGTCAAGATCCTGATTTCAAGTCTTTTGGAGAAATACCCAGGAGTGGGATTGCTGGATCATACAGTAGTTCTACTTTTAATTTTTTGAGGAACATCCATACTGTCTTCCATAGCAGCTGCATCCTTTTGCATTCCCACCAACGGTATGCAAGGGTTCCAATTTGTCCGTATCCTCACCAATACCTGTCTTTTGTTTTTTTGTTAATAGTCATTCTGAGAGGCGTGAGGTGACATTACATTGTGGCTTTGATTTGCATTTCTCTGATGATTAGTGAGGTTCAGCAATGTTTCATATACCTGTCAGCCATTTAGATGTCTATTTTTGAGAAATATCTATTTAAGCCCTTAGCCTTTTTTTAAATCAGATTATTAGTTTCTTTTACTATTGAGTTGTAGGAGTTCCTTATGTATTCAGGGGATTAACTCTTTAGCAGATATATAGTTTGCAAATATCTTCTCCTATTCTGTAGGTTGCCTTTTCACTCTGTTGAGTGTTTTCTTTGCTATTTAGTATGATGTAGTCCATGGCAAACTTCTTGAATGAGTAGTCTGTACTTATCAAAGGCTGTACCTAAATTATCTTCTTCTTGACTAACTTCTTCTCCTTAAAATACTCTCCTTTTAAGACGTTCTTATTTGATTTTCCTTTCACCCTCTGGCCACTCTTCCTTCATCTCCTTCTGCCTATAACTTAAATGTAGATGATCCTAAGATTCTGTCAACATTTCCCTCCTCACTCTAAATGTTCACAATATGCACTCTTTGTCTTCGCTTCAACTACAGCTTGTGCGCCATGATTCCCACATCTGAATAGCACTGCTTCTGACCTCTTGCTCCTCAACTTAAAAGTCTGTGTTTCTAACTCTTTCAAAGCATCTTCTGGATATTTTAAGAATCTCTCAAATTCAGCATACTCAGAGCTAGACTGTCCTTTTCTAACACTCAGTCAAGTTTGACACCTTTTTCCTTATCACTTACATTGTCATTAAGTTCTGTTGATTCTAACTAAAAAATCTTACTGCTATAATCCTTGTTGCTACTTTCACCACCACTATTCTCGTTTATGCCCTCAAAGTCTCTTACGAGGACCAGCAGATAGTCGATGGGAACTTTGGGAATCAGACTAACTGGATTCCAGTTTTTGCACTTAACAGTTGTGTGCACTGGAGAAGTTATTTAACTTTTTAAATATGCAATTTATTCATATGTTAAATGGGGCTAGTATTTAGAGATTTAGTAATCTAAACAAAATGTCATTCACAATGGCAGGCACACAGTAACCATTCAAAAATGTTTTTCACTCAGTACTCTCCTTTCTTTCTGCCTTTAACCCATCTTTCCCAGCCAGTATACATTCAACATTCACACCAGTTACTTTCTAACTCAAAAGGTCTACTCATGTCAGTCTTCAATTAAAAAAAAAAAACTTTTGACAAATTTTTATTGCCTATATGACAAAGAATCTCTTTAGTTTGACACTAATGACCCATTAGAAATCTAACCCCAAGCTACCTTTCTAGCTTACAAACTCATTACTCCATATTACATAACTTATTTACCTAAGGTATCTTACATTGTCAAGCCTTAATTTCTTTATTGTTGCCACCTCAATGTTCAGTCTTCCCCCTTCTATTTCTAGCTGATGTAATCATATTTATATGTGCATATGCATATGCTTTCAGCAATAAGTCCTAATTCCTTGGAAGCAAAGAACCCTCCTTTTAATTTGACACATTGCATTCACTTATTCATTCACTCACCAAATATTTATTACCTGAAACCCAGACATTGTGCTAGATATTAGAGATACATAAACAAAGAAGACTGGCCCATACCCTTAACAAGTGTGCAGCCTGGTGAGGAAAATGGGCATACAAACAATTCCAGTAATGGGTGAAAAGTGAAAGGGCAGAACAGTGACTGTAGTTTCTGGTTATAGATTAGAATCCCTAGCATCGATTTTACAAAATGCTAATGCCCGGTTTCAACCACCAAAGATTCTAATTAATTGGTCTGTGGTAAATTTTCTTTTTTTAAAGTTCCTCTAGCTGGGCACAGAGGCTCCCGCCTGTAATCCCAGTACTTCAAGATGGGAGGATCGCCTGAGGTCAGGAGTTCAAGACCAGCCTGGCTAACATGGTGAAACCCCGTTTCTACTAAATAATACAAAAATTAGCTGGGCATGGTGGCATGCACCTGTAATCCCAGCTACTTGGGAGGCTGAGGCAGGAGAATCACTTGAACCTGAGAGGCAGAGGTTGCAGTGAGCCAAGATCGTGCCACTGCACTCCAGCCTGAGTGACAGAGCGAGACTCCTACTCAAACAAAACAAAAAGAAAATAAAATAAAAAGCTCCTCTGGCCTAGTTATGTGAAGCAACCCTTGCAAGCTCCTGGGAGAGAGTTGTAAATAGAAGCCTATGGAATATTATGACTCAGAAACATTTCCTGAAAAAATAAAATAAAATAAAATAAAATAAAATAAAATAAAAGACGATGACTATGGAATATGGGAGACAACCTTTTCATTGGCATTTTTGGTTGTTCCACAACACCTTGTTCCCTTTCTTCTTCCTTCCCAAATCTACTCAGGGGTATACCCCGTCTCCAAGTGACTTAAGAGATGTAACACTAGCCCCAAGTCAGGGGTTGATTCTGATTGTTCTTTCTTGTGATTGGTTTAGGTGTGGGCAAAGGAACTCACTGTGAACAAGGATACATGAAGGGAGGTTGCCTGTGGGAAGATGGGAAAAGTTTTCCAAATCCCAAGAAAAATGCATCAAGAAAGACAGGCTCTTTCTCTCTTTGGACACTGCTGCATCTGGCTGGGACATCTGGAACTGAAGCAACTATATTATAACTGTGAAAAGAGCCACCTTGAGGCCAGATTTGAAAAGGAGCTGGGTTTTGGTAACACTATTAAGTCATTGCATCAAACAACCCTGACATCCGTCCACCTGTGCATTTCTCCTTCATTTTCATTTTTTTCTTTCTTCCTTTTTTTTTTTTTTTTTTTTTGAGGCAGGGTCTCATTTTGTCACCCAGGCTAAAGTGCAGTGGTGTGATCATGGCTCATTGCAGCCTCAACCTCCCAAGGCTTAGTAGGACCCAAGCGATCCTCCCATGTTAGCTTCCTGAGTAGCTGGGACTACAGGTGCACATCATCATGCCTGGCTAATTTTTAAAATTTTTTGTAGAGACAGGGTCTCCCTACGCTGCCCAGGCTGGCCTTGAACTCCTGGGCTCAAGTGATCCTCCCGCCTCAGTCTTCCACGGTGTTGGGATTACAGGCGTGAACCACCATGCCTGGCCTTGCATTTCTTGATGTATAAAATAATACATTTCCTAATTTCTTTATGATGCTTTGAGTCAAAATTCTGATTACCTGCAACACATCACATCTCAACTGATACAGAACTAAATCAAAATTGGGGATCAAGGAAGGCACCCCAGAGAAGGTGATATCTGAGGAATTTCCAGTATGGCCGCCAAGAAGCAGGAAAAGCAAATAAAAAGGCATACATATAAAAGTATAAAATATTCTGGGAAGTGCACATAGTTCAGAATGGCTATTGCAAAGAGTTTGAGCAAGGAAATGAGGTTGGAGAAGTGACAGTCTGGGACAAGATCTTGAGAAGCCTTGTATCCTGTGGTAGATTAAATGTGGTGACAAATGTTTTGCAGCTCCTCCTATCAAGAGGCAAAGCCTACTCCAGAACCTCATGAATACGGCTGGCTTCATGACTTGCTTTGACCAATAGAAGGTGTCAGAAGTGATATTATTCAAATTCCAGAGCCGAGGCCTACCTCTCTTGAAATGCTATCTGAGGCTGCCACGTTGTAAGGAAGGCAATCTAGCCTACTGAAGAATGAGAGGCCAGGTGGTGGGGATACTGAGGCGCCCCAGCTGACAGCCAGCACTGACTGCTGGGCATGTGAGGGAGGAGGCCATCTTGAACCATGCAGCTATTTCAGCCATCATCCGACTACAAATGAGCACAGCCAACCCACAGAATCATAAAAAAAAAAAAAAAAAGTGTCATTGCTGTAGTAAGCCACTACGTTTAGGGTGGTTTGTTATGCAGCAATAGGTATCTGACATAGGCCATGCCAAGATGTTTGAGCTTTATTCTGAAAACTATGCAGAGTAACCTGATTAGACTCATGTGTTAGAAAGATTACCTTGGCAGTACTATGGAGAGTGGCTTGGAGTGGGTCCACGGTGGAGGCGGAAGACTTGTTACAAGACTATTGCGTTAATGGAGCTGAGAAATCTGGATGTAAACTAAGACAGTGATAGTGGGGAGGCAGAGAAGAGTCATGATACAGGTAAAAATCAACATGATGTGTTGGACACAGTGGCTCACGCCTGTAATTTCAGCACTTTGGGAGGCTGAGGCAGGCAGATCACTTGAGGTCAGGAGTTAGATACCAGCCTGGTCAACATGGTGAAACCCTGTCTCTACTAAAAATACACGAATTAGCCAGCTGTGGTGGTGTGTGCCTGTAGTCCCAGCTACTCGGGAGGCTGAGGCACAAGAATCACTTGGACCTGGGAGGTGCAGGCTGCAGTGAGCCAAGATCTCGTCACTGCACTCCAGCCTGGGTGACAGAGTGAGACTCTGTCTAAAAACAAACAAAAATACATGATGGTGACATAGGTTACAAAGTACAAAGGAGAAAAATGAACTAAGCATTACTCAAAGGTTTCTGGATTTGGTAAATGAGTGAATGGTCATGCCATTTTCTAAGACAGAGATTATGGGAGCAAGTGAAGGTTTGCGGTAACCCTGGAACATCCAAGTGGAGATGTACAGCAAGGAATTGTGAATACTCAATAAATGTTTGATGAATAAATTACTGATTAATCTGAGTGGGTACCAAAGTGCCCTAGTCCAAGGAACCATCTTTACATGGTTTATATGGTATAAACTGAGTACTAAGTCAAGTAAGGTTTTAATGGTGTGAACTCACGTTATTGACGCTTCATCAGAATAGAAAGGAAAAGGAAAGGTAAGATTCGATGCAGTCTAAAAGTGCTGGCAAATCTGCACATTGCTTAGCTTATGTGCATCAATCTGCAATTCTTAGGAAATGCAAAGTAATGTTCCTACCTAAAGTCACTATCATTTTGTAGTATATTCACAGGGTAAGGTGTACAACACAAGTCTTTTTCTCTGTCCTGCAGATTCATTATATGGGTTTCCCTAATTACACGCAAAGAAGAGTTGAGGCTATCTCCATGCTGTCAAGTGGGCATAATCTACGATATAACAGTGTAATAAGCTGCAGAGTCTACAAACAATTTTAACACGCACATGCAAATATTGACTTACCTTTGATGTTGATTAAAATAGCAAGTAAATGGCTGGGAACCAATCTCATCTTTCCAGTACTGTTGCCAATTCATGACACTTTCCAAATTCTTCTGATTTTCTCTCTTACAGGGAGGGATATAGGAGCACTAACAAAATAGAATACAGAAAGTAAACCTATTATTTTATGGAACATTGAGATACAGTCTTTTTTTATAGAAAGATGGCATTATAAAGACAGTAAATCTAATTTAGGCCTCCCTAATTTTTAAATACAACCAAATTGAAATTACTAAACTATATTCCAAATTTCCAATTTGGCACAAGGACAGAAAGTATTCCAAATACAAAAACACAGCAAAAAATAAACTTCAGTCATTATGGTGTAAGGGTATTTTATAAACTATTAGTTACCATGTAATAGCAAATTAAAAGCATAATATACTCTCTCTTTTGGTGACCTGTCCGTCAACAGAGGGAGGCATAAAAAAGTTTATTTTTATCCCCAATTGCTATCTATGAACCTTGGCATTTCTGTCTTCTACCTGTAACTAATAAATTCAAGCACATAGCTCTTCTCAGGATACTGCTCCTAACTGCTGAAACCCAAGTTTTCTTTTCGTACATTCTCTTGGACAACAAAATCAGTGGAAAATTTCCTTTCAAATACATAATCAGTGTATTTTGCTAACTGATGTCTTTTCCTAGCCATGCCTCTGACAAAGTAGTTCTCTTAAAGGAGCTCTATTATCGTAAGCAATATAGATTAAGCAGAATCAGACAACTGTTCTTAAGTCCAGATGTTAAAATGAACTCTCGGCATTCTAATCCATTTTCTGCAATTCAGCTTTTTACAACGATGACGAAGATGATGCCAGTTTCTATTTATTGAGTGTTTGCAATACAGCAGACGCAAATGCTTAACAGGACTTAACTTGTGTACTTTTTACAACCCTATAACAATTTCCATTTTATAGATGCAGACATTGAGATTTTCGTCAGCTCTACAACCACAACTAGATTCTGGTGGTCTTACCACATTCTACTCTTAGGTGTTCTACCAAGGTATCTGATATTAAGGAGCAGGGAAAAACCAAACCAACACAACATAGAGTTTTATAGTATAATTTCAGTCACATTGTTTAATTTACAGCATACAATTATTCAACACCTTCTCACTATTTTCTGGTAAAACTGAAATGTTTTAGCATGATGCACAAAGCTCTTTGTGATCTGGTCCCTGCCTGTCTTCACCCTCATTTAATTCTGGGATGCAGCCATATGGATGTACTTGCTCTCCAAATCTGCCACGTGCTGTCAACCTACTTGCTTGGCACAGGCTGTTCTCTCTCCTTTTAATGCCCTTTGTTCCTAAATCTCCTTTATTTTAAGCTTCAAGTTTGGTGTTACCTACTTGAGGGAGCCTTCTTTTTCTTCTACCACAGTTAAGTGCCCCTCATTTGTGCTGCCATGGGACTCACGCCACGTGATATCACAGCTGGAAACACACAGTATCATACTTGCCTGTTTTATGTCAGCCTTCCCAATTTGCTGGCGAGGTGAGAACAAGACCTGTTTTCTGTCTTTTCTATATTTTCACACTTATGACTATGTCTGCTAATGGTGAAACTGCAAAAATGTTGGTTGAATTCGTTAATGATAACACGGATACATTTTTATTCAAGATGATGACATTATTTTCACAGTGTTTAAACTTTTAAAAAATATAGACATTATAAATTTTAGTAAATTTGGTTGTCTATTATATACAATACATTCACAACATGTTATGCAAATGTTATTTTAATGATTGAATCACTGAATGTTTATCTTCTGCACATATAGTTCTACATCTATTAATAACAATAATACGAAGCTAAAAATGTCTGTGAAATTATGGATTCTGAGTTCTTCCAAAGCAGCAGTTGGGTTTGGAAGCAATGGAGACCATTAGATAGGGCTCCAGTCCTATTGTCTATTAGGTGTTAGGCCTTGGGTAAATTACTTCCCTTTTCTGGACTTCATTTTTTCAAATATGCAAAATCTCCAAAATAATTTCTAGCTCTACATTTCTATGATTCTATTCTTGGAGGTACACCAAGAAAGAACCCAGCAGAAGGCAGGACTACAAACACTGTCACAGTATTTTTCCCAGAAGAGATCCTGCCCACTGGGGAGATGGCTGGGAACCCTGACTAAGCCAGTATTCCAGCCAGCAAAGAGGAGGAGTGTGGTAGGTCCTTCCTTAGGGGCCAGCACTTTGCATTAGAAAAATGTTCACAAGAGAACCATGATTTTCTTATTGCTTACTTTCTCTAAGGTGTTGGATATTTTGTTTCCTTCTATTAAAATATATATTTTTCTACATTATAGTCAATTAGTTTATAAAGTGTGAGCAAGTGCCAATTTATTGTGCTCTTCTACGAAGGAGAAATTTCCCAATTTGGAGGTAGAAGCTGTGAAGTGTGAAGGCCTAAAAATTCATCAGAGCCCTTTTTGCAATGGGTAAATACTTGACACAAGAGATATACTAAGTGCGTTAGGAAAGAACAATTCATAACCACATGTAATCAAAACAGATTTTAAATATTTCTAAGTTAACTCAGTTTGAATTCTTTGCTATTTAGTTTTTTGGGGAGAAATGGGTTTAAAAGAAATGTCTCTCTCAAATGATAACCTAAGATTTGACCAGAAGAATTACATTGACATGCTTCTGAAAAGGTCAAAAACTTTCACTGAGTGTGTAAAGTTCTGTATTAGGTATGCTGAAGTTTCATGTGAGATTTTTAAAAAAATTCTTGCTTTTTTGGAAAGTCTGAGGTTGTGTGGATGGATTTTTGGATGGAAAGTACTTTTTTACATTGGAGAAAATAATCTGAGATCAAAATTTGAGTATTCTTTTTATGCACTGCATTCTTTCCAAAGAGTGACATAGATTAAGTGATCTATACTTAACAATACTCTAGCAACTTTTTAAAACTAACATTGCCTGGAAAGAATTTTTTTTCAAGAGTCAAGGACTTGCTCTGTGACCCAGGCTGGAGTGCTGTGGTGAGATCATAGCTAACTGCAGCCTTGAACTCTTGGGGCTCAAGCAATCCTGCTGCCTAGCCTCTTGAGTAGCTAGGACTACAGCTACTCCACCACACCCAGCTAATTTTTTGTAGAGAAGGTGTCTGTCTCCTTTGGTTGTCCAGGCTGGTCTCGAACTCCTGGGCTCAATTGTCCCACCCTGGCCTCTAAGAGTGCTGGGGTTACAGGTGTGAGCCATCACACCTGGTCTGAAAAGCTACATTTTAAGGCAAACATCAAATTCTTAAAAATCATTATGGCTCCATTTCCTTAAATCTTTATTCTCAAGTTACCGTGAAGCCTAACTCAGATCCTCCCTAGATTCCTTCTCAATTCACTTAGTGTATCATCGTAGATTGCCAGAATTTTTACATAAATTAGAAATGAAAGTCCAAAGCACGGTGCTGGAAAAAGAACTCGAGAATCCAGTCACACAAATGCCTTTTATTTCTAGATTGTTCAAGCCTGGTGGTTTTCGAGGCTTCATAATAGTTCCACCATGGATGTCTCTCATTTGGGGAGGACCACAAATAACAACCTACATGGTAACGTCATCATCACAACCAGCATTTATTGACTATATGTCAAGTGTTGCATTAATTCAAACGAGCAAATATTATAATTACTTCCATTTTTGGATGAGGAAACTGAGGGACAGAGGGACTTAAGAAAACTTTCTTGGCCAGGTACCATGGCTCACGCCTGTAATTCCAACACTTTGGGAGGTTGAGGCGGGCAGATCACTTGAGGTCAGGAGTTTGAGACCAGCCTGGACAGCAGGGTAAAACCCCATCTCTACTGAAAATACAAAAATTAGCAGGGCGTGGTGGCACACACCCATAATCCCAGCTACTTGGGAGGCTGAGACAAGAGAATCACTTAAACCCAGGAGGCGGAGGCTGCAGTGAGCTGAGATTATACCACTTGCACTCCAGCTTCGGTGACAGAGCAAGACTCTGTCTAAAAGAAGAAGAAAACTTTCTCAAGGTCCCAATGGCAAATGGAAAAGCTGGGATTCAGACTGCAGAGTGGTCCTAACTACTGCTTTCCATATCTCTATCTTTAGGGATTCCTAGTCTTCTCTCTTTGGAGCTCCTGATTTAGGACAAGGAGATCCCCTGCCCTCTGCATCCCTCTCTTGGAGCACCAGTGTAGTATTTTTATTGGAATGGAATTGATGTAGTCCTCCTGAGAGCTGATGGGTTGAGGCAAGTCTGTTGCAGTCCTTTGTCTTCCTGGTACATCCTCAGAGAAATGCACTGTAAGTCTTTGCTTGTTCCCTCCTGTTTCAATTTGGCTTCAGGGTTGGTTTCCGGTGCCATGGATGTAATTTCACTTAGGTGAATTTATAGACATAATGCCTTTGGTCATGGAGGACAATAGCATTTCCTTAGAGAAATTTCTTCATATAGTTCTGACCTATTTTGTTTTTCATTTGCAAAGGCAGCATTTCCAGGCTTCTAATATCATTATTGCACAAATAACCTTCACTAGAGCCCATATTGTTTGCTGCCTGAACTTGGATGAAATAACTTCTTTGAAAAAATATTTTCGAAAAAGATTTTTTGAACTTTTGCATTCATGAACAAAGTTCATGGAACCGAGTGGGCTATCCTGACAAGAATAACATAAAGTCTTCCAATGAGTTTATTAAGAAAAGACAGTATCATCACACAACATGGAATGCTTGATTACGTACTTATTATTACTTAGTTTTCCATTATCATATGTTAGGGTTTGTCAAGATTTATAACAGCATTTTTTTTTCTGCCAACCACAATGGGATTTATATTTTAATAGAATCGTTTTTGAGTAGGTTCTTTGTGATAAGTGTCTTGAGAGGACTGCATTTCAATCATTTGGGCAGAGTAGGCAGAATTAACTTTCTTCTGTTACTGAATCATTTAAAGATTATTGCATAAATCCTGTGGTCTACTTAGTTAAATATCAGGGACTGGGTTCTATGTTAGGAATTATCTAAGAAACAGAAATGAGGAAATTTGTTTCTCCAGTTTTCCATTGACTTCATTTGGTTAGGGAGGGTAGTACTGAAAGACATAATACAGCTGAAAACATGCATGCAGCTGATTAAATGATTTCCAAATAAATTTGGTTACAAAATGAATTCTTAAAACATTATCTACTGGAACACATGTTTAATTATATTTTATACCATAATCCCTCATTTTCTGAACTCCTATAAGAAATATCTGTCAGCTATCATTGTAATTTTAGTGATACTTTTGACAGTATGAGCATATAATCAGAAAACACTGTGAAATAAAAAGTATAACTGAGCCATTTATAAACTCCATTAACAGTCAGGTGCAGTGGCTCAAGCCTGTAATCCCAACATGTTGGGAGGATGAGGCAGGAGGATCACTTGAGCTCAGGAGTTCAAGACCACACTGGGCAACAAAGTGAGATCTCATCTTTACAAAGTATTAAATAATCAGCCAGGCATGGTAGTACACACCTGTAGTCACCGCTACTCAGAAAGCTGAAGTGGGAGGACTGCTTGAGACCAGGAAGTCAAGGCTGCAGTGAGCCGTGATCGTCCCACTGTACTCCAGCCTGGGAAACAGAGCAAGATCCTATCTCAAAAATAAATAAATAAATAAACTCCATAATGTTTCAAATGTTGTGGGTGCATATGTGCATGGGCGCGCACACACACACACATACACACATACAGAGTCCTTATGAATGTAGGTTAATTGAACAAATATATACGAAATTATATGTCAGCTAAAAAACTAAATTCTAGGGCAGGTAGTCCAGAATGTTTATCCACATCTGAAAGCTAAATGAAAGTAATCTTATGGAAGAATTCAGAGTTAAATAAATGGCTTAGAAAATGTGAAAAGCAAGGTTAACTAAGAACAGGAGAAGCTAAAATGAGCTCTTAGGCAAGAGTAGGCTGGGCAGAAAGAGTAGTGCCCAGCCTAGAGCAGAGATGGTCAAAGTCTGTTCCACAGATCACTTGAACTGCTTGTCAAAAAGATCCACCCTCCTCAAAGTGTGATTAAGACTAGGAATCTGCATTATTAACAGCTCTCCTGCCCTTGGAATGACAGATTTTTAGAATTGATAATTTATGCAATAAACTATTCTTGATTGCTGAGTACTGCATAGGAAACAAAGATTAGCTATTACTCACTCCCTTCTCCCTCTCTCTCCCTCTCCACCTCCCCCGAAGCAAGCAGTGTAGTAATAGTAGCATATTTACAAAGTGCTTTGTGACTACAAAAGAAGACATGAATATTTTGGCCTCCAGAGTATAAGAGAAGGCTTCACAGAAGAGATGACTTGATTTGTGTCTTTAAGGCTGAACAGGAATTTGCTTGTCAGAGAATGGGCTGGGAAGGTGACATCCCAAGAAGAAATGGAATGTACAGAGGCTGTGTATGGATGTTCCAGAAAGACTGAGTCATCTAATGTGCCTTGGAGGACAAGGGGCATAGGAGATGGCGTTGGAAAATGCCCAAATTATCTGACCTACTATTCACTGAAGAATTGTTCCTCTCTCCTTAAATGTTTCTGTAAAAAGTTGCTCACTACCTCCCAGAGAATACACCCACGCTCCAATGCATAGTTTTTTTAGTTAGAATTTACTATCATATGTTGATATGATATCTGGATTTTTGGAATTTAATAATATTCACTTAACTTCTGCATTCAGGCAGACTGCTAAGGTTGGTTATATTATTAAGACTGAAAAGTTCGGCATGGCATTCCATCTTCAAAATAGTTCATTTAGTTTTAGAGTTAGAAAATAAAAACACGGCGGGGCGTGGTGGCTCACACCTGTAATCCCAGCACTTTGGGGGGCCAAGGCGGGTGGGTCACAAGGTCAGGAGTTCAAGATCAGGCTGGCCAAGATGGTGAAACTCCTTCTCTACTAAAACAACAAAAATTAGCTAGGCATGGTGGCAGGAGCCTGTAATCCCAGCTACTTAGGAGGCTGAGGCAGGAGAATCGCTTGAACCCGGGAGGCAGAGGTTGTAGTGAGCCGAGATCGCGCCACTGCACTCCAGTCTGGGCGACAGAGTGAGACTCTTTCTCAAAAATAAAATAAAATAAATAAAATAAAATAAAAACACACAGTCTTTGCCAAAAATAGAAGTTGAATCCAAATAGAAGCAATCACACCAAAACAAGAAATTTTAATCTGGAAGAAGTTCAATAGTTATTAATAATTATAACAAACATGACAGGGCCTATAAACATTTGTTTAATAACTCCTGATCAGAATTTAAAATCCTGAGGAGATGGCCAATACTCTTTCTTTAAATTTTATTATTTTTTTATTATATTTTATGGGATACATGTGCAGAACATGCAGGTTTGTTACATAGACATACATGTGCCATGGTGGTTTGCTGCACCCATCAACCCCTCATCTATAGTAGGTATTTCTCCTAATGCTATTTCTCCCCGAGTTTCCCACTCCCCAACAGGCCCCAGTGTGTGATGTTGCCCTCCCTATGTCCCTATGTTCTCATTTTTCAACTTCCACTTATGAGTGAGAACATGCAGTGTTTGGTTTTCTGTTCCTGTGTTAGTTTGCTGAGAATGATGGTTTCCAGCTTCATCCATGTCCCTGCAAAGGACATGAACTCATCTTTTTTTATGGCTGCATTAGTATTCCATGGTGTATACGTGCCACATTTTCTTTATCCAGTCTATCATTGATGGGCATTTAGGTTGGTTCCAAGTTTTTGCTATTGTGAACAGTGCTGCAATAAACAAACGTGTGCATGTGTCTTTATAGAATGATTTATAATCCTTTGGGTATACACCCAGTATACCCAGTATACCATTTGCTGGGTCAAATGGTATTTCTGGTTCTAGATCCTTGAGGAATCACCACATTGTCTTCCACAATGGTTGAACTAATGTACACTCCCACCAACAGTGTAAAAGCATTCCTATTTCTCCACATCCTCTCCAGCATCTGTTATTTCCTGACTTTTTAATGACTGCCATTCTAACTGGTGTGAGATGGTATCTCATTGTGGTTTTGATTTGCATTTCTCTAATGGAGATGGTCAATACTCTTATGACACTGAAATGAAATAAAACTTTCTTAAATGTTCATGCACACATTCAGATGGCTTCATTGATGGCATTATTTGTAGCTATATTGTGTACTGTAAGGTACACAAATTCAATGTGTGTATGTATGGATATATATACAATGAAATATTACAACCATCATTTCTGCATGAAGGGGATCAACAAGCCCTGTCTATTGTAAGTCCTCTAGAACCAGTATGGTGATGATAAAAAAAACTGGTGCTTCCTATTTGTAGCAGAATATGTTTTCTAAAGAGAGCTGCATTAATATACATCCCATTTCACATACTCTTACAATGTGATGTTGGCACTCCTCAATTGAGAGGTGGAGGTCTAGCTTCTCTTCCTTAGCACATAAATGAGCCATTGATTACAGCAATGATTCAGTGTGACTTCAAGGTTAGATCAGAAAAGGTGATAAAGCACCTGCTTGCATCTCTCTCGAGAATGCTCATCCTTGGTCTCCAGACAGTATTCTACAAGGAAACCCAAACTGGCCCATAATGAGAGATCACATGAAAGGCCTATGTGGAGAGGACCTCAGACTATATTCTTCTCTGTGTCCTTTATAAATTTCTGACCCACAGAATTTGTGAACATAGGCCAGGCGCAGTGGCTCACACCTGTAATCCTAGAGCCTTCGGAGGCCAAGGCAGGGGGACTGCTTGAACCCAGGAGTTCGAGACTAGCCAGGGCAACATAGCAAGACCCTCTGTCTACAGAACATATTTTTTTAATTAGCTGGGTGTACTGGTATATGTCTTTAGTCATAGTTAGTCAGGAGATTGAGAGGTGAGGATAGCTTGAGCCCTGGAGTTTGAGGTTACAGTGAGCTATGATTGTGCCACTGCACTCCAGCCTGGGTGACAGAGCAAGACCCTTTCTCTAAAAAAAAATAATAATAAATAAAAAATAAAAGAATGTGTGAACATATGAAAAATGACTTGAGCCACAGGGATCTTTGACAGTGGCTGAGATCACAGGACATCTAAGATTAAAATAAATAGATAACCTTCTAAGGTTCTTCTTTATTTACATACCTGAAAGTATAAAAACACTTGAGGTTTGATGAAATGAAGTCTATGAGTCACTGTGATGTAAGGTAGGACTCCTCAGCCAATCCCAGGCCCAAAGCTCCTTAGAGGAAGGGTGAGGGGGCTGGTTTATACTTAAAGCCCTTGTGGTAGAACCTCAAGTCCTACCTACTGAAAATCTAGCCTTTCCCAGCAGAACATGCCGACATGTAGCAGAGTAGTATAGAGCAGAAAGGGCAGATATTCAGAATAGTATTGAACACTGGCTCTACGCTAATGCTAATCCCTGGGGACTCTAAGTACACCTGTGCTTAGAATGAGAGCTCATGGGGGTCAGGGGAAAATGAAGTTTTGGTCCAAGTTAGTGTCACAATAGGCCCAGGGAGTCCATGAACTCTCTTCACGATTGTTCCTACAGATCCTGAAAGTATAGCGTCTTCACATTTTGGAGGAAACATATACTGACATTTGGGATTGCTTCTCTGATCAATATACTGAGTAACCCAGAACCTGCCAGCTTTCAGTAGCAATCAGAGCAGGAAAACCTGCTCAAGGCTACAGAGCAGGAAGCTGTCTCAATTCATCTCTATGGCTCAGTGGCTTCAATAACAAACAAGAGTCTATGACAGATCAGCGGATATATGGAGCCCAGAGAGAGCCCTGATGGTATAAAGCAAACCCATGCTTTCTTTGGCAAGTGACTATTCTCCTTTTGAGAAACAAGTGGTTTGTTACTGGGTCCCAGTAGGGTCTGAATGCCTGAACATGCAACATCAATTTACCATTTTACCCACTGTATGCTGGGCTATTTTGACTCACTAAAACATAAAGTTGGGATTTACAGGGCTGAAGCAGGACTTGTTGGCAAATAAATTTCAGAAGCAAATGGCTCACACTCCCAAGGCACCTTCTCTTTTTATACCACCACCTGCCCCATCTTGTGCTAAAATGCAGTTGTTAATCTGGGTTGGTTTTCCTCATACTGGGATATACAGACCCCAAGGAATACTCTGCAGTGTGCCAGGAGGTTCTTAAAGCCTATGATCAGTTTTGATGGATGAGCAAATTTGAGCTCATTGAGCATAACTCTGGGCAGAACATCTGATTGTTTATTTCTCTTGAAAGAAATGATGGAGGTACAGTCCTACAATATTTTATGGACACTGGTTAACAAATAGTAAACTTGTTTCAAGTAACATGATTAGAGTGTGTTAAATCCTCAGAAATAGAACTCTGATCTATACATGGGCCTACAAATTCTATTTCCCATTCACCCATTCTCGGAAAGCTATTTGAGGATGTACTCCAACAAAACAAAGAAATAAATTAAGAAAGAGGAAGGCATGGGATCAAGGAAACAAGGTACTCAACACAAGAAAGATGCAGCAGGCCTAAGGTGCATCCAGTTCAGTATGAGAAGTAGGCAGATGGGGCCCAGCAAGGGTGTCCCACGAAATTTTTATTTGATCTTATTTTTTTGACACAGGGTCTCACTCTGTCACCCAGGCTAAAGTGCAGTGGTGTGATCTTGGCTCACTGCAGCCTCAACCTCCCAGGCTCAAGTGATCCTTCTGCCTTAGCCCCCCAAGTAGCTGGGACTACAGGCACATGCTACCATGCCCAGCTAATTTTTGTATTTTTTGTAGAGACAGATTCTCAATATGTTGCCCAGGCTGGTCCCAAACTCCTGGGCTCAAGGGATCTGCCTGCCTCAGCCTCCCAAAGTGCTGGGATCCCAGGCGTGAGCCACCATGCCTGGCTAAGAAATTTTTAAAAAGAATGAGAGAAATGTGGAACTAAATGACTACCTATTGAGAATGGTCATATGACAAACAGTATACAAATGGGTTTTACAATTCTGCAGGAGAATTTTGGAAAAATAAGAGAAAGGTACACAGGAAAGGTACAGGAAAGTAAGAAAATAAAAAAGGGAGATGATTCTTACCTCAAGGAAAATAAGTTATAGAAGTGAACAGTACTTTACATAGTTAAAGTAAGTTGAGCACTCAATATTAATTTATCCAAAAATTATGATAGAATCATATTTATTTAAAGAATAAAGAGAGGAAAATGGGGTAGGATGGTGTGGTGCAAGAAAGCTAAGTCCATATAATCCATCATAGGTGGTCAACAGTATCTCAACTGCATACATCAGAAAACCTATTGTTTAGAAACACAGAGGTAAAAACCAGAAAAAAAAAAAAGCCCTAAAAATAGTTAAAACCAGTTATCTCTGGGTGGCACAAGGGTTTGGAGCAGTGGAGTACTACTCCTTACCCTCAAATAAAAGTACAGTGCAATTTGATTTTCAAAACTATGTTCATAATAACAAGAGCAAACATTCACTGAAGGCTTACCATATGCAAGGAACTATCCTAGGAGCTTTCCATATATTAACTCATTACTCCTCATAACCCAAGGAGACAGGCTCTATTATAATTCTCATTTTACAGGTGAGGGAACTGAGGCACATCTGAAGTCACACTGCTATTCTAATTAAAAATTAATAATCAAGACATACAAATGGCAAACAGGCATATGAAAAGGTACTCAATATCACTGATCATCAGAGAAATGCAAATCAAAACTACAATGAGATATCATCTCACCCCAGTTAAAATGGCTTTTATTCAAAAGACAGACAATAACAAATGCTGGCAAGGATGTAGAGAAAAGGGAATCCTTGTACACTCTTGGTGGGAGTGTAAATTAGTACAACCACTAGGGAGAACAGTTTGGAGAACAGTTTTGAGTAACTAAACTGGAGAACAATGTAGTTACTCAAAAAACTAAAAATTTAGCTACCATCCGATTCAGCAATCCCACTGCTGGGTATATACCCAAAAGAAAAGAAATCAGTATATCAAAGAAACGTCTGCACTCCTGTATTTGTTGCAGCACTGTTTTCAATAGGTAAGATTTGGAAGTGACCTAAGTGTCCATCAACAGATGAATGGATAAAGAAAATGGGGTACATATATACAATAGAGTACTATTGAGCTATAAAAAAGAATGAGATCCCATCATTTGCAACATCATGGACGGAACTGGAGATCATTAAGTTAAGTGAAATAAGCAAGGCATAGAAAGACAATGGTTACATGTTCTCACTTATTTGAGAGATCTAAAAATCAAAACAATTGAACTCATGGATAGAGAGTAGAAGGATGGTTACCAGAAGCTAGGAAGGGTAGTGGAGGGCTGTGGGGGAGGTGGGGATGGTTAATGAGTACAAAAAATAAAAATAAAAAGAATGAATAAGACCTATTATTTGATAGCACAGTAGGGTGACTCTAGTCAATAACAACTTAATTGTACATTTTAAAATAACTTAAAGAGTATAACTGGATTGTTTGTAACTCAAAGGATAAATGCTTGAGGGGATAGATTCCCCATTCTCCATGATGTGCTTATGTCACTTTGCATGCCTGCATCAAAACTCATCTCATGTACCTCTTAAATATATATACCTACTATGTATCCACAAAAATTAAAACAATTAAAAAAAAACAACACTCCAGGCATGGTGGCTGACTTGAGGTCAGGAGTTTGACACCAGCCTTACCAACATGGTAAAACCCCGTCTGTACTAAAAATACAAAATTGGCTGGGCATGGTGGTGCACGCCTGTAATCCCAGCTACTTGGGAGGCTGAGGCAGGAGAATTGCTTGAAACTGGTAGAAGGAGGTTGCAGTGAGCCAAGACTGTACCACCACACTCTAGCCTGGGCAACAAGAGCAAAACTCCATCTCACAAAAAAAAAAAAAAAAAAATTAAAAAATTTAAAAAAGACGAATCAGTGAGTCACAAATGAAGAAATAAAATGGCCCACAAATATGTGATGAAATGTTCAAACAAACTAGATACCAAAGGTGCTGGCAAAATTAAACTGCTAAAAATGAAAATCACAGCCAATATCCCGTGCAGACAAGTATCTGCAAAAAATAGGCTCTTTCACACACAGCTGTCGGAATGATACATTTTTATTACTTATTTAGTATAATTTGGAAATATATGATAAAAGCTTAAGAAAGCAATAAGCTTTGTTTCCCTTCAAAAAAAAAACAACAAAAATAAAGCATAATAGACACACAACGTAAAAATGCAAACAGTGGGAAAGGTTACAAAATGAAATGTCTCCCTCTGACTGACCCTTACCCCAGGCAGTTATGCTTAACAGTCATTGTGCATTCTTCCAGATATTCTCTATACTCTATCTTAACAAGAATGTGAGCACACTCTTCTGTTTATTGCTTTGTTCTTTCACTAACCAAAATATCTTAGTGCTCTCATGTGTACAGATAGAGGTCTCATTCTTTTGAATGCTCACTGCATAGCTGTGTCAAAATTTATCAGTTGGTCCTCTAATGAAAAACATTATAGAAGTTTCTAGTCTTTTGCAATTACAAACAAAAGAGCAACAAACTTCCTTGTACCAGCATCTATGCACACATGTGTGAGAACAGGAATAAAAGCTGGCATGTATTTTCAAAAACTGTAATTATGGTATTCCAAAGAACCTGCATGAGAGTTCATGAAAGCACCTTTCCCCATCTCCTTAAAAAAAAAAAAAACAACAAACAAACAAACAAAAAGGCTACAATTAAACTTTTCTGATGGTGAAACATGGAGCTTCTTATTTTAATTTACATTTTTAAATGAACATTTCTTTTCTGCAAACTGACCATCCATGATCTTTGCCTATCTTGGTCATTTTCTCATTGATGTTTAAAAGTCTTCATATAGTTAAAAAAAAATTGTCTCACAATCCCAGTTTCCCTCCTGATTTTTCTTGTCTTTATTTGTGGTACATTTACTACATAAAAAAATTAATTTTTATGAAATCAATCTGTGAAAATTTATATAATTAGACCCACTTTGAAGACAGACCCATTATCTATAAAAACATATATTGTAATCTCTGAAACAAGATCTCCACTATCACAATGCCTCAGACTTACAAGATGAGGTATGTGACTGTCTGAAAAAGGTTTTTAGAAAATAGAGATAAGCAAAAATAAAATTTAGAAACCTCTGATACCGTCATCACTGAGATTACTAATTTCATTTTGGATTTTAAGTAAATATTCTTGAAGAGAAGCTGTCCTGTAACTTTCATCTGTATATATATGTTATTATAGGTTTTTGTTTCAATGTAATCATAAATATATGAAAAGAATTTGGAAGTTTTCCTTATTTCTGTTTCTCTGGCATAGTTCAAAGTAGGATTAAAGTTACCTGTTTTCACAGAGTTGACCTGGAAACATTTACAGTTGTAGTTCGTTGACAGCTTTCTCCATTTCCTCTATGGTAATTGGTCTATTTTTTAGAAATCTCTATAGATTGTTTTATTTGGGAAGTTTATATTATCCTAAGAATCATTATCTCATCCTATGAGTTCAAATTTATTGGCATAGAATTGATCGAAGTATTCACTTGAAGTTCATTTAACTTTTCCTGTATTTGTGGTTGTTTCCTCATTTTTGTTTCTAATTTTGTATTTTTGAAGAACATTTCTTTGGCAATTAAACTTGCTGAGGATTCATAACTGAATTTATCTTTCCAAAAATAAAGACAATTCTGCACTCGTTGAAGATGCTCAGCATATCTTCAATGGGAATTTTGAAGCCCTGAAAAATTTCAAGGCTATAAAGTTGTGCTATTAATTTTCTATCCAACTCTTATGCAAAATCAAATAAATGTTCATTAAAAACATTGAAGGGAAAGGTGTTTGACATTAACCGAAGAAAATATTCAGTACATCACAGGGACATGGGAGATAAAGCTAGATGAAAGAAAGCTCAACAGATTGAGGAGGTAGATGCTCTCAAATCCAAGAGTAAATGCACCCCACCACAACACTGTGTGATGTCCTCCAGAGACTGTGCCAGAAAGAAAGCTCCAACCCAGGAGGGGTTTTGTGAATCAGACAGCATTCACAGCAGTTAGGATAGGGCCTGTAACATGGCAGATACCCAATAAACATTTGTTGAACTAACAATTCTGAAGTTTGTGACAAAGTCCCTAAACTCTGTCCTCATCTGTGAAATTCCCCCCGCTTGACACCTCAGTAACTACAAATACAAATACCAAGATGTATTTATTCCAGAAGTATTTATCAATAATATCTGCTTGGAACATTATATATATCATCTATAGTCCTCAGCTTGTAAAGGTTTCTTGATCAAGAGGTTAAGTGACTGACCTATAGATGTTCACCTTTAAATAGGGAGCATCTAGATTCAGGCACATGGGCCTTTTCTTTCTTTTTCTTCTTTTTTTTTTTTTTTTTTTTTTTGAGACAGGGTCTCACTGTGTTGCTCAGGCTGGAGTACAGCGACATAGTCATAGCTCACTGTAACCTTAAACTCCTGGGCTCAAGCGATCCTACCGTCTTGCTAGAACTACAGGTGTGTACCACCATGCCTGGCTAATTAAAAAAAAATTGTTTTAGAAACAGAGTTTCACTATGTTGTCTAGGCTGGCCTCAAACTCCTCTCCTCAAATTATCTTTTCACCTTGACTTCTGAAAGTGTTGGGATTACAGGCATGAGCCACTACACTTAGACTGGCGTTTTCCATTATACCAGGTAGCTTCTCAAATGTCTATGTGCCCAGCTCTGTCCTAGACTCTGTTAGTGAATCCCGAGGTGTTTCCCCAACGGGGACTGTGAGAGGCCTTTTCAGTCATTCATTATCGTGGTGACAAGTTGGGATGGGAGAGGGGTATTTAAGTAAAACAGCATGGTTTTGTAAGAAGGTAGTTTTATCTTAATACATCGATCCTCTCCATTGTAATATTTAGTCTCTTGTGTTTCACAGAGCATTTATTTTAAAGTAACAGTTCTCAGTTTTCTCTCACAAAAATAAGCCTTCTTTATTGGAGAAATTTAGAAGCTACAGGTGGTCAAAAATCGTATTTATGGTGTGCATTTTTTCCATTTTGTCATTTATCTTTGATCTTTGTATATAGTCTTTTTTCATATAAAAATGTTCAATTTACATGAACACAATAGGGTCTTGCAGATGGAATTAGTTAAGATGAGGTCACAGTGGATTAGAGTAGGCCCTAAATTCAATGACTGGTGTTTTTTGTTTGTTTTGAGATGGAATCTTGCTCTGTCACTCAGGCTGGAATGCAGTGGCACGGTCTCGGCTCACTGCAACTTCTGCCCCCTGGGTTCAAGTGATTTTCCTGCCTCAGCCTCCTGAGTAGCTGGGGTTATAGGTGCACATCATCAAGCCCAGCTAATTTTTATGTTTTTAGGAGAGACAGGGTTTCACCATGTTGGCCAGGCTGGTCTCAAACTCCTGGCCTCAAGTGATCCACCCAACTTGGCCTCCCAAAGTGCTGGGATTACAGGCGTAAGCCACCGCACCTGGCTGTACTGGTGTTTTTATAAGAGAAAGAAGAAAGGGATACGGAGACACATACAGAGGGAAAAAGGCCATGTGAAGACAGAGGCAGCAACTGGAGTGATGCAACTGCAGGCCAAGGAATGCAAGGATTGCAGGAAACAACCATTGCTAGGAAGAGGCAAGGAAGGGTGTTTTTCTAGAGCCTTCAGGGGAGCATGGACCTGTTTGATTTTGGACTTACAGACTTCAGAACTGTGGACAAATAAATCTCTGTTGAGTTAAGCAACCTCGTTTGTAGTACTTTGTTATGGCAGCCCTAAGACCCTAAGACATGTATTTTTCAGGATTTTGATATGTATTTCCAAGTTGACATGCAATTGCTCCTGCAACATGTTGCCACCAGCAGTGCACAAGACTGCCCACATCCCCATATTGCCACCAATTTAATATGTACCAACTTGATAGGCAGAAAAGGTATCTCAACATTGCATTAATTAATATTTCTTTTTTCCCCTTAGCTTTACTGAAATATACTTGACAAATAAAAATTGCACATATTTAAGGTATATAACGTGATGTTTTGATATATGTGTACGTTGTGAAATAACTGCCACAATCTAATTAGCACGTCCATCACCTTACATAGTTATGATCTGATTAGTACAGTCCTGTGCTGAATAATGACATTTCAGTCAATGATGAACTGCATTTATGACTGTGGTCTCATGAGATTATAATACTGTATTTTTACTGTACCTTTTCTATGTTTAAATACACAAAAACTTACCATTCTGCTACAACTGCCTATAGTATTCAGTACACTCATAGTACAGGTTTGTAGCCTAGGAGCAATAGGCTATATCATATAGCCTGGGTGTGTAGTAGGCTATACTATCTAGGTTTGTGTAAGTACACTCTATGATGTTCACAGGACAAAATCACCTTAAACAATGAACGACTGTATTTCTTTGATTTTTAGTGAGATACCACATATTTTTCATGTTTTTATTTGTAATTCTTTACTGAACTGCCTACGCATGTTCATGCCTAGTATTTTACTGAAGAGATGGTCTTTTATTGCTAAGAGTACTTCATATGTTGACTTTTTAATCATTTCCCCACCATGTTGCAAACATTTGTCCAAATTTATCATTTTTCCTTCAATTTTAATGTTCAAAAAAATGTGTAAGTTTTCCCTTATTATATCATTAATCAGTGTATTCCTTTATGATTTCTGTCCTTGCTACATGTTTAGAAAAGCTTTGCCCACCCCATATATACAATATTAATGTATAAAATATATATTTACCCAAATTTTATTTAGTACTTTCATAATTTATTTTTGTACCTTTAAATTTTTTTTTTTTTTTTTTTTTTTTTGAGACGGAGTCTCGTTCTGTCGCCCAGGCGGGAGTGCTGTGGCGCGATCTCCGCTCACTGCAAGCTCCGCCTTCCGGGTTCACGCCATTCTCCTGCCTCAGCCTCCAGAGTAGCTGGGACTACAGGCGCCCGCCACTGCGCCCGGCTAATTTTTTGTATTTTTAGTAGAGACAGGGTTTCACCGTGGTCTCGATCTCCTGACCTCGTGATCCGCCCGCCTCGGCCTCCCAAAGTGCTGGGATTACAGGCGTGAGCCACCGCGCCCGGCCACCTTTAAAATTTTATTCCATCAAAACTAAAATTTTAATTTTAATTAGATGTATATTTCTAAGTAAATATTTTCCAAATAACATTTTGATGATTCCTAGTATTTTCCAAACAAGTTTTTAAATTTAGAAAATTAGTTTTTTAAAATTTATTTCCAAAAAATAATAGGCAGTTTTAACACCACTTGCTGAATAATACATTGCTTTACAAGTTATTTGAAATGCTGAAATTTGCAAAGCAATCATTCATTATTATTTTTTGGGCAAGAGATTTATTGAAATATAATTCACATACCATCCAATTTACCCATTAAAAGTGTACAATTTAATGGTTTTTAGTAGATTGCACAGAGGTGTGCAACAATCATCACAATCAATTTTAGAATGTTTTCATTACACCAAAAAGACCCCTGTACCCTTTAGCTGTCATTCCCAATCTTCCCATGCCTTCTAGCTTTAGGCAACCACTAATCTACTTTCAGTCTCTATAGATTTCCTTCCTTATTCTGGACATTTCCTGTAAATGGACTCATATAACGTGTGTTTTTTTGTGGCTGGCTTCCTATACTTACCATATTTTTGAAGTTCATCCATATTGTATTAACACTTCATTCTTTTTACAGCCAAGTAATTTTCCATTGTATGAATTAGCATATTTCATTTATCCATTCATCAGTTGATGGATGTTTGGTTTGTTTCCACCTTTTAGCTATTATGAATAATGCTGCTATGAAGAGTCATGTACAAAGTTTCTGCATGGACATGTTTTCGTTTCTCTTGGATATATAATTAGGAAAAAGTTGCTTGGTCACATGGCAACTGTTTAGCGTTTTGAGGAACTGTCAAACTGTTTTCCAAAGTGGCTGTTATCTTTTTCATTCTTACATTCTTGTATGAAGATTCCAATTTATTTTGACAACACTTGTTATTGTCTTTTTTACAGCCATTCTAATGGATCTGAAGTGGTATTTCATTGGGGTTTTGATTTTCATTTCCCTCATGACTAAAAATGTCAAACATTTTTTCATGTGCTCATTGGCCATTTGGATACCTTCTTTGGAAAAAAAAAAACTATTCACATCCTTTGCCCACTTTTAAATTGGATTATTTGTCTTGTTGTGTTGTAAGCATTCTTCATTATTTTCTTGGTACTAGACACTTATCAGATACATTATTTGCAAATATTTTCTTTCTGTTACACTTGTCTTTTCATTTTATTGATGGTGTCCTTTGAAGCACAAATGTTTTTAATTTTAATTAAGTCCAACATATCTATTTGTCCTTTAGTTGCTTGTGCTTTTAGTATCATATTCAAGCATTAAAGTTTTAGCACTTATATTTAGGTCTCCCATCCATTATTTTAATGTGCAATCAGAGTTCAACTTCATTCCTTGGCATGTGGATATTCAGCTGTTCAAGCACCACTGATTGAAAAGACTGTTCTTTCCCTATTGAATGCTCTTGACACTCTTGTCAAAAATCAACCGTCCATGATGTATAGGTTTTTTTTTTTTTTTGGACTCTCAGTTCTATTCCATAGGTTGGTAGGTCCATCCTTATTCAGTATCACACAGTCCTGAGTACTGTAGCTTTGTTGTACAGGCACACTTCGTTTTATTGCTTGCTTTATTGTGTTTTGCAGATATTGCATTCTTTTACAGATGGAAGGTTTGTGGCAACCCTGAGAACAAGTCCATTGGCACCATTTTTTCCAACAGCATGCACTTACTTCATGTCTCTGTGCCACATTTTGGTAATTTTCACAGTATTTCAAACTTTTCATGATTATTATATCTGTTATGGTGATCTGTGATCAGTAATCTTTGATGTTACTATTATAATTGCTTTGGGGATGCCACAAACCATGCCCATATGAGGACAAAGTTAATCAATGAATGTGTGAGTGTTCTAAGTGCTCCACCAACCACCTGTTCCCCTGTCTCTCTACCTCTTCTGGGGCCTCTCTATTCCTGAAACAAAACAATATTGAAATTAGGCCAATTAATACCTCTACAACAGCCTCTAAGTGTTCAAGTGAAAGGAAGAGTCATTGTCTCTCACTCTAAATTAAAAACTAGAAATGACTAAGCTTAATGAGGAGAGCACATCAAAAGCTGAGACAGGCTGAAAGGTAGGCCTCTTCTGCCAAACAGCCAAGTTGTGAATGCAGAGGAAAAGCTTCTGCAAAAAAATTCAAAGTGCTACTCTAGTGAACACACGAATGATAAGAAAGTGAAACAGCCTTATTGCTGATATGGAGAAAGGTTTAGTGGTCTGGATAGAGGATCAAACCAGCCACAACATTTCTTTAAGCCAAAGCCTAATCCAGAGCAATGCTCTACCCTCTTTAATTTTATGAAGGCTGCCAGAAGTGAGGAAGCTACAGAAGCTAACAGAGGTTCATTCATGAGGTTTAAGAAAAGAAGCCATCTTCATAACATAAAAGTGCAAAATGGGCTGGGCATGGTGGCTCATGCCTGTAATCCCAGCATTCTGAAGGGAGAAGAAGGCAGATCACTTGAGCAAATTCAAGACCAGCCTGGGAAACATGGCCAAACCCCATCTCTACAAAAAATACAAACATTAGCCAGGTGTGGTAGAGTGCACCTGTAGTCCTAGCTACTTGGGAGGCTGAGGTGGGAGGATGGCTTGAGCTTGGGGTGGAGGTTGTAGTGAGCAGAGATCACACCACTGCACTCCAGCCTGGGTGACAGCCAGACCTTGTCTCAAAAAGAAAAAAAAAGTGCAAAGTGAAGCAGCAAGTGCTCATGTAGAAGCTGCAAGTTATCTAGAAGATCTAGCTTAGATAATTTATAAAGGTGGCTACACTAAACAACAGATTTTCACCATGGATGAAACAGCCCTCTATTGGAAGAAGATCTAGGACTTTCATAGCTATAAAGTCCAGGCTTCAAAGTTTCAAAGAACAGGCTGACTCTTGTTAGAGGCTAGTGTAGCTGGTGACTTTAAGCTGAAGCCAGTGCTCATTTACCATTTCAAAGATCCTACGGCCCTTAAAAATTGTGCTAAGTCTACTCTGCCTGTGCTTTAGAAATGGAACAAGAAAGCCTGGATGATAGCACATCAGTTTACAGCATGGTTTACTGAATATTTAAAGCCCACTGTTGAGACCTACTGTTCAGAAAAAAAGATTCCTTTCAAAATACTACTGCTAACTGACAGTGTACCTCATCACCCAAGAGCTCTGATGGAGATGTATGAGGAGATTAATGTTGTTTTCATGCCTGCTAACATGACATCCATACTGCAGCCCATGGATCAGGGAGTAAGTTCGACTTTCATGTCTTATTATTTAAAAAATACACTTTGGGCTGGGTGTGGTGGCTTACACCTGTAATCCCAGCATTTTGGGAGGCCGAGATGGGTGAATCACTTGAGGTCAGGAGTTCAAGACCAGCCTGATCAACATGGTGAAGCCTTGTCTCTACTAAAAATACAAAAATTAGCCGGGCATGGTGGCGTGCAACTGTAGTCCCAGCTACTCAGGAAGCTGAGGCAGGAGAATCACTTGAACCCAGGAGGCAGAGGGTGAAGCGAGCCAAGACCACACCATTGTACTCGAGCCTGGGTGGCACAGCGAGACTCCATCTCAAAAAGTAAATAAATAAAATAAAAAATAAAAAATACACTTCATAAAGCTGTAGCTATAGTGATTCCTCTGATGGATCTGGGCAAAGTAAATGAAAAACTTTCTGGAAGGGATTCAACAATTTGATGCCATTATGAACATTAGTAAATCATGAACGGAGGTTAAAATAACATTATAGGAGTTTGGAAGAAGTTGATTCCAACCCTCATGGATGACTTGTGGTGTTCAAGACATCAATGGAGAAAGTAACTACAGATGTGGTAGAAATAGGAAAGAACTAGAATTAGAAGTAGAGCTTGAAGGCCGGGCGCGGTGGCTCATGCTTGTAATCTTAGCACTTTGGGAGGCCAAGGCAGGCAGATCATTTGAGGTCAGGAGTTTGAGACCAGCCTGACCAACATGATGAAACCCTGTCTCTACTACCAATACAGAAAAAAAAATTAGCTGGGTGTGGTGGTGCATGCCTGTAATCTCAGCTACTCAGGAGGCTGACGCAGGAGAGTCACTTGAACTCGCGAGGTGGAGGCTGCAGTGAGACGAGATTACACCACTGCACTCCAGCCTGGGCAACAGGGCAAGACTCCATCTCAAAAAAAAAAAAAAAGAAGTAGAGCTTGAAGAGATTCTACTAGAATTAGAAGTATAGCTTGAATTTCTGGAATCCCATGATAAAATTTGAACAAGTGAGGATTTGCAAATCCTCATTTGGATGAGCAAAGAAAGTGGTTTCTTGAGATGGACTCCACTTCTGGTGAAAATGCTGTGAACACTGTTGAAATGACAAATGACAACAATTAACCTAGATATTACCTAAACTGAGTTGATAAAGCAGTGGAGGGATTTGAGAGGACTGACTCCAATTTTGAAAGGAGTTCTACTGTAAGTAAAATGCTATTAAATAGCATCACATGCAACAGAGAAACATTTTGTGGAAGAGTCAATTGATGCAGGAAACTTCGTTGTCTTAGCTTAAGTAATTTCCACAGCCACCTCAACCTTCAGCAACCACCACCCTGATTAGTCAGCAACCATCAACATCGAGGCATGATCCTCCACCCGCAAAATGATTATGACTTTCTAAATGCTCAGATCATTACTAGCATTTTTCAGTAATAAAATATTTTTAAATTAAGGTATGTACATTTTTAAGACATAATGGTACTGCACATTAATATAGTATAAATGTAATTTTTATATGTACTGGGAAACTAAAAAATTTGTGTGACTCTTTTATCGTAATATTGGCTTTGTTGAAGTGGTCTGGAACCAAATCTGCAATATTTCCAGTGTATCTCAGGAAATGTGAATCTTTCCATTTTGTTCTCTTTTTTCAAGATGGTTTTGTTTATTATGGTTCTCTTGCATTTCCGTGTGAATTTTAGAATCAGCTCGTCAATTTATGCAAAAAGAAAAAAATAACTAATCCAGCTGGGGTTTTGCTAGAGACTGTAATGAATCTGTAGATCAACCTGAGGAATACTGCCATCTTAACAATATTGGGTCTTCCTATCCAGGAACAAAGGATGTCTTTCCATTTATCTAAGTCTTCTGTAATTTTTCTCAGCAGTGCTTTGTAGTCTTCAGGTTATAGGTCTTGTACTTTTGTTAAATTTATAAAATTTATTCCAAGACATTTTATTTTTATGTTATTATAAAATTACATTCTTTTTTCTTTTTTTTTTTTTGAGACAAGGTCTCACTCTGTTGCCCAGGCTGGAGTGCAGTGGCATGATCACAGCTCACTGCAGCCTTAATCTCCCAGGATCAAGTGATCCTCCCACTTCAGCCTCCCAAGTTGCTGGGACTACAGGCACGTGCCATGACATCTGGCGTTTTGTTTTTTTTTAATTTTTGTAGAGGTGGGGTTTCACCATGTTGCCTAGGCTGGTCTTAAACTCCCGGGCTAAGCGGTCCTCCTGCTTTGGCCTCCCAAAGTGCTGGGATTACAGGCGTGAGACATCATGCCCAGCCAGAATTGTGTTCTTAATTTCATTTTAGGATTGTTCATTCCTAGTGTATAAAAATATAATTAATTTTTGTATATTGATATTGTATCCTGCAACTTTGCTGAATTCATTTATTAGCTCTAATAAATTTTAGGGGAGGTTCTTTAGGAGTTACTATATATAAGATCATGTGATTTCTGAAAATAGTTTTATTTTTCCTTTCCAATCTGGTTGCCTTTTATTTCTTTTTCTTGCTTAACTGCCCCTGGCTAGAACTGCCACTACAATGTTGAACAAGAGTGGTAAGAGTGGACATCCTCGTCTTCTTCTTGATCTTAGGGGTAAAGCTTTCAATGTTTCATCATTAAGTATGATATTAGCTGAGGCTTTTTCATAGGTGTCCTTTTTCAGGTTGAGAAGTTCCCTTCTATTCCTAATTTGTTGGTTTTTTTTTTTTTTATCATGAAAGGATTGTTAAATTTTGTCAATGTTTTTTTCTCCATATACTGAGATAATTATGCTTTTCTTGTTCTTTATGCTAGTAATCTATTACATTGATTGGTTTTAGCACGTTGAACCAAACTTGCATTCCTGGAATAAATCCCACTTCATCATGGTATATAATCACAAACTCTTCCAAAAAAACAGAAGGGGGAACACTTCCCAGCTCATTCTATTACTATGATACCAAAATCAGACAAAGACATCACAAGAAAAGGACAGACATATATCCTGTATAAATATAAATGCAAAAATCCTCAATAAAATATTAGCAAACAAAATCCAGGAATCTATAAAAAGAATTATATACCATGACCAAGTTGGAGGAATAAGGAGTGAGAGCTAATACGTATAGGACCCCTACACATTGTTGAACCCCAACACGGAACTACTAAATCTGAAACTCAGGTAGAGCTTTTGATTTATTGGGTCGAGGATGGGACCTGAGAATGTGCATTTCTTTTCTTTTTAGAGATGGGGTCTTGCTCTGTTCCCTAGGCTGGATTACAGTGGTATGATCACAACTTACTGCAGCCTTGACCTCCTCAGCTCAAGCAAGGAGCCTTAGCCTCCTGAGTAGCTAGGACTACCAGTGTATGTCATCATGTCTGGCTAATTTTTTTTTTTTTTAATTTTTGTAGAGATGTGGTCTTGGCTATGTTGCCCAGGCTGGTCTTGAACTCCTGGCCTCAAGCAATCCTCCTGCCTCAACCTCCCAGAGTATTGGTATTACAGGTGTGAGCCACCACGCTCAGCCAGAATGTGCATCTCTAACAAGTTCACAGATAATTCTGATGCTGCCCGTCCACTGACCATACTTTGAAAACCACCGGTTTGGAGGAAGAAATAGACTAGCCATAAACTCAATGAACAGATATGGTAATCAAAGCAAAAGACAGCACTAAACAAGAGAGTGGCAGTGAAATTTATAAAAAATATTAATACCAGAGAATGATGATACAATTAACAGAAACAAAAAACTCCAGAATAAAAGTGGGTTTGGGAGAAATAGTGATGAATTTTGTTGCCATTTTTATCCTTGAAACAGAGAAAACAAAAGGTAATTAAAATAAGAATTACAAATTTAGCACTCACTATAGAGTATTATTGTCTGGTTTTCCCTTCTTTAGGTCTATTTTAAAATAAAACTGTTTGGATAAAGACAATCATAAATATATTTATTACAAAGAACAAAATGGACTAAATTTTTACTTTCTAGGATTTAGTTTTCTCCAGTGAAATATAATATCAATATATGCTGCTGCAATATAGTTAGATTAAAACCAGTAAACTGGACATTAGATGAGGTTTCAAAGTCCATTTGATCAACTACATCAATTACATGAAGACAAAGCAAGTCTAGATATTTTTTCACATGTGCTTCAGTATAAAGAGACCATCTAGTAACCTAATCTGTTGGATTACAGTACTCAAGAAAGCACTTACTTAAAATAAATGTATCCTAGTTTATTTATAAAAATGGCCACAGAATTAAATAACTTAATAAACACAATGATTTACAAGTATTATATTGGTTATTTTAAAAGAATAGAAGAGGATATTACAACTCACAAGTACAATTTTTTACACATTAATTTATGTGTTGTAGAGAATACCTAAGGCTCAGCATGAGGAATGGTTGGAAACATATGCAATGTTAAAAACTATTCTGTTCAGTATTTTACTGTGAGTAATTATGGTAATTGTAATATAAATGTACTGCTGATCTAGGAACTAAACTGAATTGAAATTCTGCTAAGGACTGAAAAAAAATTTAAACCCAAAGGAAATAAAACTTGACATCTTCATTCATAAATAAGTGCCCAAAACATTTTAAATAAACAAAATGTGTCAACTTATAAAAAGCTATATAACGAGGCAAGTTTGTGATCAAATAAATGTATTTTGTAAGCAAATTATAACTGATATGTATTGTAATGTCACAAATCTCTTTTGATTTTTAGTTTCTGATTCTTTTTTATGCATAAGTTTTGGGGACCTTACAGATATAATTGAGATCTTCATAAATGACATCCACAAATGGGGGCTGGAGATACATTACGATAATCTCAGACAGATAGATCATAGCATCCTGCAGATTAGATTGCTTTTGTTTTAGAAATGGAGTCTTGCTCTGTCACCCAAGCTAAAGTCCTAAAGCACATACTTAAATTTAGCTCACTGCAGTCTTGTACTCTTAGGCTCAAGTAATCCTCCCTCCTCAGCCTCCAGAGTAGCTGGGACTACAGGTGTGCACCACAATGACCAGCCAATTTCCTTGATATTTTTTTAAGAGATGGGATCTTACTACGTGGTACAGGCCTCAGCCTCCCAAGTAGCTGGGATTATAGGTAAGAGCCACCACACCCAGCCCAAATTAGATTGTTTCTAAAGAGATATTCTGACCACGCCTTTAAATATCTAATCATAAGTCACCTACTCAAAAACCGTCCTTGACTTCTGTATTAGTTTCCTATTGCTGCTGTAACACAAACTTAGTGGCTTAAAATGGCACAAATTTATTATCTTACAATTCTGGAGGTCAGAATCTAGAATGTGTCTCACTGGGCTAAAACCAAGATGCCAGGCTGCGTTCTCTTCTGAATGCCTAGCGGAAAATTCATTTTCTTGCCTTTTACCACTTCCTTGGAGAAGGAGTCTACATGCTTTTTTTGGCGCATGGCCCTCTTCTGTATTCAAAGCTAGCAATGGCTGGTTGGATCTTTCTCAAACTCTATCACTCTGACCTGCCTCTGTCTTCTACTTTTAAGTACCTTGTGATTCCATTGGGATTGTCTGGATAACTCAGGATAATCTCCTTATTTTAACATCAACTGTTTAACAACCTTAACTCCCTCTTTAACTCTAATTTCTCTTTGCTATGTGACATAAGACACTTACAGTTTTTGAGGGTTAGGATGTGGACATCGTGGAAGGGAGACATTATTCCTCCTACCATGGCTTCCCAGTATCTAGCAAACCCATCCTGGCTGCCTGGGTCTTCTACACTGTGGGCTCGAATTTACTCTCCAGCCTTACCCCCAAGACCTCATTCTATGTGCCCTGTGTTCCACACACACCAGTCCATCCAGATCCCCCAACACACCCCACACTCACACAGCTCATAGCTTTGTTTCTTGCATTTTATCTTCTTTGATGTTCTCTTCATTCCACCCTGCCTCCCTTTACTCACCACCAAGATGAAACTCTGTTCATCCTCGGACTTATAGCAAATGCTTCTTTCTCCATGAAGCTTTCCCCCTAACTTTTTCCCTCTGGATGTTCATATCATAATGTTTGTACCTCTCTGTAGAACTTGACATTCTGCCTTGTTTGACAGTTATTTGTGTCCTTATCTCCTCTGCTAGGTAATAATTTCCTTGAGGACAGAGGCTCATGGATTCATCCTCATATTTAATGTCTGTTAGGCATATGCAAAACTGAACCCTTGATTTTCATCCACACTCCTCCAGACCTACTATTCCTTTAGTTTTTCCCATCACTAAAAGCACCTCCGTTCACCCAGTTGCACTTGACACAAACTTTGGAGCCATTCTCAACTCCTCTTTCCCTCATTCCTCATATCCAATTCATTAGTAAATTTTACCAGTGCTACCCACTGATCTAAGCCACCACCATCTTTTGCCTGTCCTACAGGACTTCCTGTTTCAAGTCTTGCCTCTGCACCTCTCACTGCACAAGTCAGAATGTGTGCATGTGCATGTAAACATACATATAAATTCTGTTTTCAACTCAGCAGCGAGAGGGATCATTTGCATTTTTTAAAAGTCTAAGTCTGATGATATTTCAGCCCCGCTTAATGTCACAGATTCCCATCATGCTTGGAATAAAATCCAAAGTCCGTATCGTGTTCTTTAGGACCCTAACCTCATTTCCCACTGTCCACCTTGCTCACTGTGGTCCAACCTCACTTTCGCCCTCATAGTTCCTCACACAGACACTTGTCACAGGGCCTTTGCATGTGCTATTTCCTCAGCTGGTGGACACTCTTGTCTCCAGATAGCCACATGATTCATTACTTACATCCCTTCTGTCTCTGCTCATCCCCTCATGTTCTTTGGGTCTCTGTGTAAATGTCACTTCATCAGAGCGGCCTTCCCTGACCACCCTGTCCAAAAGAAGAGCCCTTCACGTATTTTGTCACTGTCTATACTCTTATCCTGCCCAAATTTTCTTTATCCACCTATCATTACATGACATGGCATTATACATTTATTTCTTGTCTGTTACTTCCCAGCAGAATATAAGTTCCATGAGTGCAGGAACTTTGTTTTGACCTATATTCTAGTCTCAGCACCTGAATGCACACATAGCTCAGGATACGTGTTTCATGAATATTTGTTAAGTGAACATATTCATCTTTGTATGCCCTCTAGTTTCTTGCCCAGTTCTTTGATCATTATAATAGATGCTGAAAAAGGATTTCCTGATTGAATTTTATGTATATACCAAACATTATATAACATCATCTCCAAAGGAAAAACAACCAAGAAATGCCACTTTTTCAAGATAAATAAAGGTTACAAAGAAGTCATCACAATTCTGCTTAGCCTTTTATCATGTAGTTCTGATATGATGGATGTCTCTAGAGCGCAAAATGTATCAAACTGAATGTTCCAGGAAGGAGTTCAGAAACAATTCCAGGCAGGCCACACTGCCTCTCCTACAGTGCACTGGGACAGGGTACATGAGTGGATGTGGAGAGGGCCTAGGTGACTGTGAGCCACCACGCCCTGTAGTTAGGTACATCCAACTTCAGCAAACGTAATGCCTGAAGCCTTATTCAGTCCCACCTAAGTTTTTCTTCTCCTTAATGCATTTCTCTCACTTCTAGAGTACTGGTTTCTTAGAAGGAGCCTTTTATCCTTTGTTTCTAGGTTTTTATTATTAGAGGAAGGGGAAAAAAAAACTCAAAATAAAAATAAACATATAGACCGGGCGTGTTGGCTCACGCCTGTAATCCCAGCACTTTGGGAGGCTGAGGCAGGGGGATCACTTGAGGCCAGGAGTTGGAGACCCGCCTGGCCAACATAGTGAAACCCTGTCTCTACTAAATATACAAAAATTAGCTGGGTGTGGTAGCACATGCCCGTAAGCCCAGCTACTTGGGTGGCTGATGCAGGGGAATTGCTTGAACCCAGGAGGCGGAAGTTGCAGTGAGCTGAGATCATGCCACTGCACTCCAGCCTGGACAACAGAATGAGACTCAAAAATAAATAAATAAATAAATGAAATAACCATATTATCTCTAATCACTCACTCTGTCTTGTCTCACATACAAGAGGGCAGTTTTAAAAACTCACCTTTTTTTTTTTTTGGCCATCCAATGTATATAATTATGCAAATGCAAATGTCTGGAATCAAGTTCATTTCATTTAAACTTATTGGTTTTAAACTATTATTTACATAATAATTTTAAATAATACTCTCCCTTTCCTTCAGAATTTCCTTTTATACCGACTCCCTAAATTCAGTAGCACTGGCCGGGCGCGGTGGCTCATGCCTGTAATCCCAGCCCTTTGGGAGGCCAAGGCAGGGGTGGATCACGAGGTCAGGAGATCGAGACCATCCTGGCTAACATGGTGAAACCTCATCTCACTAAAAATAGAAAAAATTAGCCAGGCGTGGTGGTGGGCGCCTGTAGTCCCAGCTACTCGGGAGGCTGAGGCAGGAGAATGGCATGAACCAGGGAGGCGGAGCTTGCAGTGAGCCGAGATCATGCCAATGCACTCCAGCCTGGGCGACAGAGCGAGACTCTGTCTCAAAAAAAAAACAAAAAAACAAAAAAAAACAAAAAATTCAGTAGCACCAACAATATCTTTTAATCTGAAAACACAAATATTAATCACAATGACTCCTTTTTGGTTCTCAGGTTGTTTTTCTTGCACAGCAGATGAGAACATTTTCTAAGACAGTGGTTTTTGAATCTTGTCTTCACATTAGAATCATCACAGAACTTTTAAAAAACATCAATGCCCAGGCCCCACCCAAGACCAAATCAGAATCTTGGAGAGTTGGACCCAGCCATAAGAACTTCTTTTTAAAGTTCCCCTGGTGATTCTAAGGTACAGCCATAGGTGAGAACCAAAGCTCCTAGCATATACAACTGTGAGTCACCAAGAGATAGTGCAGTGACTGGAATAGTAGCAAGAGGAAGTTGACCCCGAATTTAGATTTTGCTATGGTTAATCCACAGAGATAATCTCCCTGTGGACAATTTGTTGCCTTGAATACTCTATTACAAGACTGGATATAGTGATTGCTTTAGACAATAAGGATATGATTCAAAATACAAATAAATTCAGTAGGAACTCAAGGTATTTTAAAGAAATTATTAGTCAAAGATCAAATTTACTCACAGTATCTTCTTCAGCAGCTTATGGCTTAAGAAATTCTGTATTTGCAATGTATTCTTTCCCTCTCCTGCCTCTTACTGTAATTAATGCAGGAAACTCAAGGGAGAGGAAAAAACTCCTTATTCTATTTTTTCTAAGAAGTGATTTCCTAAGTGGTTTCTTGTGTTGGTGGGTCATGAAGAAAAGCCTGGAGGCGGCTGGGATTCAAGACACTGTTGGGAATCTAGACATTCTACAAAGAAACAGAGGGGAAGCATAGGCCTTCAATAAAGAGGTAAAGTAAGGCAAAGAAAAGATCTAGGCAGCCAAGAGCCAACAGGAATGGACAATGGGTATTGCCTAATTGCAGGGACACTGTGGAAACACTCTGCTTATGTACATGACTCTGGCATAATATTTTTATTACATTGAATTTTTCCATCACACTGCCTATAAGAATTTCCAAATTGAGAATTTATTGGTCAAAAATAGAAAGGTGATGCTAAAGAACAAACTTACAGTCTATAAATGATACAACATAATTATAATCTGGATAAAGAGATATAAATTGGTTTGGCTGAGAAAACCTTGACTAAAATGAATAGGATGTTGTCCATGACTTCTGTAACATAAATATATTCTTCTCCAGTTCTGTCAGTTCCTGAATACTTTACTTTATAAAATGTATTTTGTTCAGGTACTTTTTCAAAACAACTGTTGCCAAGATCTGAACTGGCACTGGAAAAAAAATGATTATTTTCAGGGGAGAGAGAGATAAAGAAAAGAGAGAGGAGAAATTTTAGTATTACATAAAGCATTGGGATTGCTTCTAGGTAATTTAAAAATCAACGTCCCAATGATTTCAATTTACTTTTTCTGCCAGATACTTCAAACTGCCTGAAAATTGTGAAGCAGTCTTTTTGTAATAAATTATAATTTGTCCTTGTCTTGATTAGATATTAGCCATTTATTAATGTGTGTGTGCATATATATGTATATATAGATATGAAATTTATTAGTGCTTGAACCACTATCTTAAAATAATTAGCAACGTTTCACCAACTATAACAACTTCTAAATGATGAACTGCCATATAATTTCTAAATCATTACTACTGGTTGGCACTCATCTTTGACATTATTGATTTAATTCTAAAAAAAAAAATGTTTCTAAAACCCTGAGATTTCTTTTTAAATTCCTGAGCATTAAGAGGATCAAGTTACAACATTTGTCTTTGAGACGTTATCACCTCTTCAAGATCTTTAACATTATACTCCAAATTCTATATTCTTAGTCCTATATTTACTGCTTATGTATTATTGATATTTTTTAAGGTAAATCAATATTCATTTGTCGACAGGAGCATTTTTTTTTTGAGAGGAGTCATTCATATTTTTAAAAAGAAATATTTTCTAAATGTCTCAAATTCAAGAATTTACTGTTCAGGAGGTAAGACCACAAGTTTTATTGCAGAGTGACGGTAAGCTGTTTTAAATACTATTATAATATTAATGTAGAATTTTTTTCTTTTGGATTAATATAAATATATCTTGTTAGAGTTAACAGAAAGTTTTCCTGTGAACACAAGATGCATTCCCTTTTGGACTGTTTTTCTGCTTGATCCCTCAAAAAAAGGAAAAATGTCAGTAACTTTTAAAAAGATACATACCTTTGATAGTTAAGCAACAAGGAGAGCAGAAAAGATCAAGGGAAGTAGAAACGGAACCAGAACCAGGTGCACTACAAAGCTCAATTAGTTCACAGGCTAAGGACACTGCTTTTTATAAGTTATTTTTCTCCATTGGGAACAGTTTTCTGAGACTTCCTCTCTCTGCTCTCCATCCCGGGAGTCCTAACCAGGTTTTATCTTTTTTTTTTTTCTTTTTCTTTTTCTTCTTGCTTGCTTTCGAGACCAATAGAAGTTGTCAGAGAAGTCATATTAGGTACATTTCACTGAAGGTTTTCTATTTTCAGCAAGTTTTACTGTTCTCCAGACGACTCCTGACTGTCCCTAAACACAAAGGGTAACTAGGCTCCCTGTAGACTCTTTTGAGAATCTATTTCATGAAAACTAGGAGCCCTCTGTACTTCCCAAAATGGACCCGCAATATTCCACATTTGATTCCGGGTCGTTTGTCAAGCCACAAAAGCTTATCTTTGAACCCCAAGTTGAAAATGCCTATGTAGAGCGAAAAGGTGAGGAACTCTCTCACAACTTTCGAGAGTCCCCTCGACCTTTCAAGGAAGGTCATTCCATCTGAGTTCTAGATGAGACCAGCTGAAGCTCGGACCTTGACCGTGAGCTGGAGTAGGTGGATCCCCGCTAACCACTGGCTTTAAATGGAGGAAAAGTTAACTTTCTTGGCTCCTTGCACTTCTCCAAACCCAGTCCGGTAGGCGCAGGACCCGGACTGGGTCGAGGCCTCAAAATCTGAGACCAGGCAAGACAGGTTTTAAAGTAAGCCTCTGGGCACCACTGGTCGCCGCGCGTAAACCCACCTGAAAAGACCGGAGCCCTGGGGCTCCCTGATGTAGTCATTCCTGGTTTGAGCACAGCCTGCGCCACCTGGTCTCCTCCTAGCAATGCGAGCACACGCCGAACCCTCCCCGCGCGGAGTCTAACACCGACGCTGCCTCCAAACCTCCCTCGCGGGGAGCCCCTGGGTGCGCGGGGCGTTCTTACCTTGGGGTTGGTCAGGAGCTGGTGCTCGTCGCTGTGCAGCAGCGCCCTAGAGTTGGACTCAGAGTTGTTCACGTAGACCTGGACGCAGGGGTACTGCGAGGTGCCCCTGCAGTCGGCGCCACAGGTGAAGGTGCACTCGAACACCTCGCCGATCTGCTGCACCGACAGCACCGTGCAATTGGCCTCCGTGGCTTGCAGATCCTGCAGCGCGGGACTCAGCCAGCAGAAGCCGAAGATGAAGAGCGACACGACGCCGGAGATGATGAGAAACAAGCCGAGCCGGATGCTCTTGTCCTCGGCTTCCGTGTACTCGTAAGCCACCCGGAGCTTCGCCATCGCCCCCCACTCTCGGCGGCTGGCGTGCTCCCCCCGCCCCCTCCCGCCCCCGGCGCCGAGCCCGACTGCCTCGGGCGGGAGGAGCCGCCGCCGCCACCGCCGCCGCCGCGCGACAGCAGGGGAGTGGGCGGCGAGGGGGAGCGCGCGAGAACAAAGGGGCCGAGGCCAGCGACGCCCCCGGCGGCGGCGGCGGCAGCGCCCCCCAGCCCCCCAGCCGCCGCCTGGGCCCCGCGGTGCAGCAGCCGCTTCAGAGCCTCCTGCACCCTCGGGCGCGGGGAGCGCACGGACCGCTCCAGCTTCCAGCGCCCCCTGCCAGCCTCCGCCCCCGCACTCTCCCCGCCTCCCCCACCCCGCCTCCTCTCGTCGGGTGTCTCTCTGTCTCCATCGCCCGCTGGCCGCTACTCCGCTGACTCGCCCGGCAGCTGCCCCAAGGCTAGGAGTGTCTGAGCTGGGGCGAGCCCGGGGGCTCCCCCGTGCAGGAGGAGGCTCCGCCCCGCCCCGTCCGCAGCAGACCCGGGCCCTTCCGCCCCGCCCCGCTCCGCCCCGCCCCGCCCGGGGGCGTCTCCTTTGGGCGAGGGGCTGACGGGCACAAGCGACAGCGGCGACTTGCAATCGGAATCTTCGCTCACTCCCCTTAGAGGGACGTCCGAGATGAAAGATTAAGATCAATTTAGCTTAACCGGAGGGAAGTTAAAATAATAATAATAATAAGAGGGGAGGGTGGAGTTCAAGTGGAGCGGCGGGAATCTTGAACTCCAAACGAGTACTGGTCACCTGCAGGGAGAGCGGCCAGGCTCCGGGCGCACCCCGGGAAGCGGGCACGGGTGGCGGTGTGGGAGGACACGAGCCGCCCAGGCCGGGCGGATCGAGGTGAAAGCCCCAGGCTAGCGGTGTGCGCTGGGAGGTCCCCGGGGACGACTGAATCGCAGGTTCCCATGCCACGGGCGGGCTGGCGCGCGGTGGTGCCGGAGGCGTGACCCAGCCGCGCCCACGCCGCCAGCGGCTGCGCCCAAGGGAGCGCAGTAACCGTCCAGTCCCAGGACTTGGGCCTCCTAACCGTCTTGGCGCAGACCCGCGCCCCCTGACCCTGCTGAGGCCGGGAGGGCTGCAGGATTGGAGTTAAACAAGCTGAGTCAGGTGGAGTTTGCTGTGGAGGCAATGTGCGTGGGGGCAGGAGGCTGGACGAAGGAAACTTGCTGCTTAGGTCGTCGGTGACCCTTGTGGCAACTTAGGTCTCTGGCAGCCGAGTTGACCCCAACTTGATTTGCCCCCATGGCTGGGGCTGACTGAGACCAAAGGAAAAAGGTGGAGAGCTTTGCAGCCTGGAAAGAAATACCACTTTACCCATCAGAAAAGTACTCTTGCTTTGGGGCTCGCAAGAACAGAATCATTTCTGTCGTTTCCCTCCTTAGGAGTCTTGCCACCCCTGACCCGCCCCAGGATTTGTAGATGAGGTTTCCAGGAGCGCTGCTTAAAGCGACAGCGCCGGGCAGACCCACTTTGGGACAGGTACTGTTTCTAGACCTGTGTTCTGCTCTTAATTCTTGCCGTTGCTCCCTCCTCCCCCAATTACGCTAACAATGCTTCAGCCTCTATTGTTTTCGCGACCTTTTTAAAGTTAGAATGACCTTTTCCCAAACTACACTTTTATCATAAAATCAAACTTGAGAACTATTTATATGTACATTTCGAAGAATAAAATCAGAATATTAACTTCCTTGCAAACTACATAAACTTTTTTTGTTTGCTTGTAAGTCTCAAATGAATAAACTCTTAATTATGTTCCTGATGAATACGGAAACATGGAATCATGGAATTCTTGACTTCTCTTTCCTGGACTTCAAATGTTACTTAACTGGTATTGAGTACCTTTCGACTGCAGTTCTGATAACGTTATTTTGAAGCACTACATTATGACAGGTAACAAGTATTTCCCAGCAATGGGCAAATTAATTACAGGAAGATCCTAAGTGTCTTTTTCTCAATAAATTAAGAAGATGTAGAGTTTGAAAAACGTCCAAATTAGGAAGATGCTTTGTTCTCTAATACCTTTCAGGTTTTGAGATTTTCTTTTTTTAATTTAAATGTAAGAATTGTATTCTTTTCCTGTTAGCATAAAGACAATTGTGATTACATTGCTTAAAAGTGAGTTTAATAATTGAAATAGCATAACCGAAAATCACAAATCTTCAATCTGAATCTTTTTCCTATTGCAGGAAAAATAAAAAACATAGGAAATAATCTTTTTTTTCTATTGTTATAATCTTCTTTTCCAAGAAAGGAAAAGCTATGTCTAAGATCTGAAGCAATGATGAACAAATAACAAGATACAATTATTCTAGCTCAGTATGTTGAGGAACTGAAATGAGGCAGAATTAATTCCTATTAATGCACAGCAGTTGGGGGACTACCAATAATTTAATGAATATGGTTCGTTTTTCAATGATTCCAGAGCTCAAAGTCTTCTGTGAATGAAACCTCTGCCTCAAAACTGAAGTACGGTGGTCTAAGTCTAGGGAACAAAATCAGAAAATTCTATCTTATTTTAACTGAAATTCTTGAAGTTTTAAAATTCATTTTCTTTCAGTTCTGCATTTAGTCAATTTCTTTCTTGGCAATTATTCTTAAAGTATTTAAAGAAACTTGTGTCTTCTGTTCTCTAGACATTTTTTTCTCCTGTTTCCTGTTTTTAATTTAGCTTTTCTCTGAACACTTTTATCTTCACATCTTTATTGAAAGTCAAACGTATTAAGACTTCACAAATTAAATCAATTTCTATTTTATTCTTAATGAAACACTGGAAGTGTTTATTAGTTTTACTTACTTGAAGCGGAGCTGCTTTATCACATTCCCAAGGAAGATTGGATATGTCAGCCCCTCAGTTTCAGAATACAGGTCACCACTTACTAAGTCAGAATGGTAGTAAGAACTCCAGGAAAGCTCAGAAATGCTAAGATCTGAGGTCACTTAAAATCTCTGTTCCCTGTGAAAGGTGGAAGTAGCACAGAAAAAGCAGCTAGTCCTTTCTTTGAATAGTGTTCCACCAATTAAGATTAAAAATGTAATATTAAGAACCAGACTGACTTATTTGATGTACATCGTCTGCAGTAGTTTTTCCAGTAGGATCATGGCCAGGTCTTGATAAAGTTCAATTTAAAAGAAAAATAAAGCCTGTCTAAACAAGGGCATCAAAGCCATGTTACTTATAATTTGTTCTCATGATCAATATTCAAAAAGTCCTGTGGCTGATGCTAAAGTTGCAGTATACAATATCATATGTATATATACTTTTTAATAAAAGATTCTAAAAATAATTTTAAGGCAGGCTTTTGTATCCTAGGAATAGAAGGGAATTTACAGCAGGTGGGAAAATTTTTTCAAAAATTGGCACATTATGAAGTTTTTTGATAACTGCCACTAAACACTTGAAAAGCGAAAATACATAGGAAAATAATGTATAATCACTTTTTCTATTAAAATTTACGTTCTAGAGTTTAGACCTTTTTTACTAGATATTACACATGATGAAAGTATGAGTGATCCAACAAAGAAAACCATATAAAACCATTTTATATTTTCTTCTTGATTCAGCAGCTATAATTATAGATTTTGTTAATGTCATAGGAAATTGAGTTCCAGCTTGCTGATACCAAATTAATTTCCTTGCCATGCTCCATTATGAGTGTTAAATATTTGTTATTAGCCTCAGAATTTTAAATTCAAAATACATTTCCTATGTGGTCACTATTTTTTCTGATTGTTTTTTCCTGGCCATAAACTTCACCTATTAAAATGAGCATATAATTATTACTAAGAACACTACTTACTATCTCTAATTACAGTAAATTAGAACAGGAAGGGATTTTAACCATTGCCTAGTTCAACATTAACCAAGAAGCTCCCAGACTTTGCATTTTGCTTGTAATTGTAGTTATTTAAAATATTTTTTAAAAGCTCAAATTTATGTTTGTGTATAGCCTTTATGTTTGCAACTGAGGAAAGCAAAACACAGACAATCAATTCACATTTTTTCCATTAAAATTTACATTCTGGATAGATTAGCAAATTTTTAATACCATACTGGTAGTGCTCTAGAGTTCCTAAAATCTCACCAACTGTTGAGTCTTTCATGTTAACTGCAGTGAATCTGTATGGGAGAGATATACACAGGTATGTAGTAAAAGGGAAATCAGCTTTGGAACTTGAAACATAGAGGCCAAGAGGTTTTGGTCCCAGCTTTAGTAGTAAATAATTTGACACAAGGTAAATAATCCTCTTAGTCTATTTTCTGTTGCTATAACTGAATACCTGAGACTGGGTAATTTATAAAGAAACTTATTTCTTACAATTCTAGATGCTGGGAAGTCCAAGAGCATGACAGTAGTATCTGGTCAGGTCCTTGTGTACCCTAACATGGCAGAAGGCAGTTCCATAGCAAGAAAGCAAGAATGCCTATTAACTCAGGCCACTGTACATATAAAGCCACCAGTCCCATCAGGCCCCACACCCTGATGACCTTATTTAATCCTAATTATCTCCCAAAGGCCCCATCTCGAAATGCCATCAAAAATATGAATTTGGGGAATATGTTCTAACACATTAAATTTGGGGGACACTTTTAAACCATAGCAATATTAGTTTCCTCCTTGTCGTACAAAAGGGTTGGTCTAGAAGAGTTTTAGTATTCTAGTATCTAATTCCCATTTTTGTTTTGCCATGCACTTTAGAAAATTGGGTATTGCTATATAACAGTATCTAGTGAAGTTAAAAGGTCTTGAACAGAATCCAAAAACATGGAGAGCCTGTCCTAGCATGATGGCTAACAGGAAGAGTGTTTGTCTTTAGAGAAATGGACCTACGTCGATGCAACACCTAATATAAGCTAGGTTATTTACAAATGCCTTAATTTAACCTTCCCATGAGAAGAAGAGGGAAAAACATTCAGAGATTAGGTAATTTTTGCAAGACTGCACACATATTGTGACAGGGCCAGGGGATTTTATATTTGCATTTTACATAGTATCTTATATTTAAGAAATACTAACTACTCGAAGATAATAAATTACCTAAAACAATTTTTCTACTATACTATGCCACTTCTAAGAAATTTGTTAACAAAAATGAAGTGTAGATAATACAAAAAGCATTTATGAATGGATTTAAAATGTGTTTCTATACTTATATTTAAGTACAGTTAGGCTTAATCAAAATCTCTACTGTGAAACGATTATGAAGGGGACGGTGAGTAGAGGCTGAAGGAACTAATAATTTAATCTGGTCCCCCTGCTTAATTTTACTCTGAATCACATTTGTGTTGAAAATAGCCTCTTCAGATGCTTAGCAAATAGTAGTAGTACTGTTTTATGTGGAACAGAGAGATTAAGTTAGGTTTCTAGTGGCTTGCTAAAAATTCAAGCTAAAATTCAAGGTAGAAGTAAATACAGGGAATAACTAGATGTGCAATAGTTATAAGGCAGAAGGAAATCCTATCCTCTGCAGACTGAAAAGCATCATCGAATATTTCTAATAATACTTTTTTTTTTTTTTGCCTTTTCTTGGACACTTCCAGTGATGGAAAGATATAACTCCTAATGATTTCTGGAACTTTTGAAAAATTATAAACTGGTACTTTATTACTGTAGATTGAAATTTGCCTTGCCATAACAGCTATGTAATGGTCCTTATTCTGTCCTCTGGCGTTATGTAGGATAAAGATATTTTTAAGAATAAAGCCTTACATGAGGCAGAATGGCGTGAACCTGGGAGGTGGAGCTTGCAGTGAGCCGAGATCGCACCACTGCACTCCAGCCTGGGCGACAGAGCAAGACTCCGTCTCAAGAAAAAAAAAAAAAAAAAAAAGGATTAAGCCTTACAAATGACTCTACCTCAGAGGTGAGAAGACAGCCATTATGTCTCTCCTAGGCCTTTTGTTATGCACAACTTCCAGTTTCTTCAGTATTCTCTTTTGATATGATGTAGGAAACTAAGGTTTTACCCTTAGTCCAAAATGCTAAGAATAATAAGTCAAAGTTGGAAAGGATGCCCCACTTTAACATTCGAAAGTCTGAGCTTTTCTTTTCCATGATATTCCAATTTACAAACACTTCTAGGATAATGGATTTTGTTGTTCAATGACAGTGTCATTGCAAATGTAGGGAATTTGGATTCCTAATAGTGATATACAAGTCAACTAATATTCAAATTTTAGACCTATATTAAGTCATTTAGAGTGAACTGAAAAAAATTATACAAAACTTTAGATAAAAAAAGGGAAATCTGGAAATAACTTTTTGAGCAGAGGAGTAACATGACTTGCATTTTTTAAAACTGAGATATAACTCATGCAATAGACAGCATGTTATATTTGAAGAATATTAACCACTTGAAGACAATAAGTTAAAACATTCAAAATAAAAAAACAAACATATCTTTCTCTTAAGAGGGGAAATATTTAACTCAAAGACAGCCCATTTTTCATGCACTGTTACATATGGTAATTAAAACTCCATCTTAAAATAAATGTTCAGTATGTAACAGATTTAAAGGTAGCTTTGAAACATTCTGGCTGCCCCAAATCTTTATTTTTATACATAAGAAGATGAAACTATTTATATCATTCCCTCATGTAATGTTTTCTCATTCAGATGTATAATTTTGAAGAATAAATGTTTAATTTAAAATAGTTTTCTCATTATAAATTAGTATCAAGAGGCCTGATTCTAAAAAGAATCAAGCAGACTCAGCGATTTGTGGACATCATACCACCCTTGAAATTTGAAGTATTCTTCCAAAATGTTTGAAGAATTCATGTATTATCATCAAAATTATCTTCATTATGCACTAGGAAATAGTTTGGCCTGGAAGAAAAAAGCATGTATTGTAAGTTTTAAAAGTAAATTATATGGTCAAAATGTCACTTAGGCCAAAAATAAATGCAAATCACAAAAACATTACATTTCAGGAAACACATACAAATTAGAGACCAGCTCTGATTCATAGTAAAGATTTGTTTTCCTCAGCTAGTGCCTTCAATTATTGTCTAAAAGAACTAACACTTTTGGCATAAAGCCAGTTTTATTTAATCTTCTCTAAGAAAGATGTCAAAACATTTTGGTGGTATGGTATGGCCTTTCAGGCCTAGAAATGAAAACTAAGATAAATTTCAAAAAGAATGAAAAATTGGCTTTGCTATGTAGAAGATAGTTTAAGTATTTTAGCACATGTCAACTGGTTATCATATGCTATTTGACTATGCAATAATTTGGATTTTCAAGATAGAGAATTATGACAATTAGGACCTTGTGAATTTTGACACTTTCAAGAAGTCATTTAAATAACTGAGAGAAAACTGTACAATAAACATGGAAATGACTAGCTTTTTAAAAAGCCCTATAAATCTTGAGTTCTTATGATAAAGAGACATGTCACTAAAATCTTGTCACAGTATTTACACAACTGTTTAATTGGATTAAAAAACCTTCAATTAATGCATACATAACTGATAATGTAATTCCCATTACATTATCAGTTTTTATACATACAAACTGAAGAGGAAATCTTAAGATCAGCAGAAATATTCCCAGGAAATAACTGAGATAAAAGCACTTTTGCTGTTTTATATTTATATATGGATTCAGCTTTCCTCCTGTTCTGCTAACAAATACTATTGTAGTAACATGGTTTCTGCCCTAGAACATTGGATGTTATAGGAAAAAGTAAATGAATGCCCCTGATACACAGGGATTATAATATTTAGTGGGATTTTAAGAAACAAGATTTTATTCTACTTAGTACTTGTACCCAGGAGATTGCACACTAATGCAACGTACAATTTCAGACTAAACATTTACGTCAAAACTTAAAAATTGTCTTTTTCCTCTTTCAAATGTAGAAATATACACATAAATAAATCTGGTGAATACACACATACATATGATTACTATTTGTTGTGCTTTATTAATGTTTCACATTCCTACTCCTAACATCAAAACAACTCTACATGTAAGTTCAATAAAGTTGCCTTTTGTAATTCTTTTTTGATTTAAATTTCTTTCCAAAGATATAGCAGTGATTTTAAGTATACCTTATCCATGATTCACAGAACAGCATATTCTTATGTACTTAAAGGTCAATGCTTTAAGTATATACCTTTTAGCCCTGATGACATCATAGTCTCCAACTTCAAATCAAGAAAAGGGTATCAGTACCTTAAAGAGCTGAAAAGAGGTCTGGAAGTAATCACATTCAACTTTTTATTTAAAAAGGCAGTCCTGTCAACTAATTGAGAGTCATTCAGTTTGTTTGCACATTGACTGAACCTTTACTTCATGAAGCAGCTAGTACTGTGTAGCACCTTAATATAGAAAAAGTCTGTTTCATTCAACTTCTCCTTATTGGTTTGAGACTTGCCCTATTCCAGTTCTTCCTGTGTTTGATGACAACTGTCATGCCTCCCCTTAGTATTCTTTAGTTGTCTCCAAGACCTACATCTCATCAATTCTAAGATGCACGTTCTTTCTTCACATAATAGATACATTCTGTAATTGGCAGCTTGTCTTAGTGGTACATAAAATGGTGTCCCTTACAATTGATGGCAATTAGATTTGCTGAAATACAGTAATTATCTCACTTACTTTAACACTTTTTCAATGAGCCACAGGAACATTAAGACATTCAACTCCTTACCTTATGCACAGAACACTATCCAGCCAGTCTCTCCTAGGTTATGTCCTATGAAGTTAAATCTAACGCCTTACAAAGCAACTGATTTAAAAATCTGAATTAACTCAGTTACTTTTTAATATTGCACTGAAATCCCTTATTTGTCCTAGTTCTGCTCTTCCAGTCACAAGAATGAGCTTAATTGCCTTTCATTGACAGCTCTTGAATTTGATACCTGAAGACAAATACCATGTTTCCAAAATTGTATTCCTATTTGTTTTTAAAATTTACTCTAAAATGGGAACACTAAATTTCACCTCATGATGCTATTCTTCAGACAACAATGTATATAAAAACACACAGCATTTGCCAGGCAGCTAGAAGGCATGCTACTTCTCCATCCCCTTCTGCCTTCCCCAGGCATGGCAGCTCTTCTAATACAGCATTCAAACAGAAGATGACATTTCAGATGAGTGATTACTTCCAGTAGAGTGGGCTTCCTATCTTTTTCTGAGTGCTATATTTTTCTTAATGTAGCTGAAGATTACATTAGTATTTTTGGCAACAGGATCACAATTCTTACTGATCTATATATGAACCACTCAAATCATGTTATATTCCACCATTCTTTATTAACAATCAAAGTGCAAAACTAAGTAATTTTCTTGATTGAATGTATCCTATTTGATTCAACTCTACACACCAAACTACTTGGTTAGATTTAGATCCCAATTTTAACCTTCAGTGAGTTTATTTGCTTCATCTTCCAGATCTGTCATGTATTCATGGTATAATCAAAGTCACTGGTAATGCCAGTGGCAAGGAGACAGCCTTGTGACCTGCCATTAGGATCCAACTTTTAGAAAGTAAAGGCATCTCAATGTCTGGCTTAGTTCATTCTCCAGAGACTATCTCAATGGAACCTAGTTAGTAGATATTTCTAGATCTTATTAACTACATAGACAAACCATGGTTAATGTATTATACAATCCTGTTTCCACACACGTATAGGTTTTCAGCAACTTTTTGCAAAATTGAGCTATTAAATCTAAGTTAAATGAAATGAGTCCTACTGTACAGCCATGCTCAGATGCCACATATTTTATGAGCAATGGATATAACAAAGTGGAAGATCTATGGCTTGTGAATAGAAGAGGATTTATCAATTAGAGAAGCTATAGACTGGAAAAATTTGAAATATTTAAAAGTTATTGAAAATGCTTAAAAAGATTATTGTGAAAATGAAATTATAGCAAATGATAATTGAGTAAGCTATCTCAAAGCCCAATGCTTTATACTTTATTTTCAAATTGAAATATCAACTTTTATCAGTCAACAACTATCAAGCACCTGCTTTGTCCCAATTTCAGTGTCAAAAAGAAACAGACTAGTTATATATACTTTAAGAATTAACATAAACTTTCAGTTCTTAAAATGTATTATATCTAAGGAAAACTATTTGTGTAGTTAAGTCTCTGAAAATAGAGCTTTAGCATATAAATTATAATACCACCTAAATAATTATATTTGAAACCAAATAAAGGATTTCCCTTTGCAATTAAATAGCTTTTATTCCCAGAAAGCCAATCATAGTTTAATCTAAAAAATTTATTTAACATAGTGTACACATCTATTTCACTAGCTATATAGGGGGAAATTAACAGAATTAAAGCTTTGAAAGAAAATGTGAAATATAATTAGTTGGATTCAGCCTCTTTACATGTATAACCACGTTATAAAATCAAGGCGTATTATAACTGTTACATTTAAAAAGTTCAAAGTAGTGTTTTAAATATTTCAAATAGAGTAATTTGTATTTTGAAGTCCATAGCATGGTAATTTCTGATATTAACAAGTTATAAAAAGTTGGCTAACATGCAAGAGTTTCTTCATTTTGATGATTCAGGATAAAAAGAACTCAAAAAAATGGAAAAGTGTGCATTTAAAACTCTGTATATGGCAGTTAACAAAAAAAGAGAAAAAAAGATTACAGCCAAGACAACAAACCACTTGGTATGAGCTATCTTATTTTTCGGAGTCATTCATCAGTACCAGTCATGATCACGCTTCAGCTGAGACTTCAATCTATATTGTTGTTTATATTCATGAGAATAAAGATCCCCTTCCACATTTTTCTTCCTACTTGTTTTTTGTGGTTATGTAGGAAAAATTACATTTTATTTTACAAAGTGAATTACTAGGAAAAATGTAATCTTTTTTTTTCTAGATTGATTTCTATGCTTTGACTCTGGTTTATGTCAAATAAGGTATAGTGTTCTGTGAAGGTTTGTGCACAATAGATAAAATGATTTATATAGTGCTATCTTTCTTACTGAGGAGATGCTTTGGTTTAATTATGAAAGATAGAAAATCCTGTTTTTTATAGTGTTTCTCATATCTCAAAATGCATAGAAAAAGGTAAATTTTAAGCCACTTTATATTCCTGGTACACAAACACAGCAATGTCATAAATGTTTCATTTTCAAAAGATTTGGTTAATGCCAACAGACTTTTACTCTTCATAGAAAAATAGGTTAAAAATGAAAATTTAAAGGATCAAAACTCATTGCCTTTTTTCTACTCTCTAGTTCTGCTTTGGAAGCTTCAATCTTCTGATTTTTAAAATACAGTATTTGTATTTAGATGGGAAAAGAATCCACTAACTTGTAAATATGAGATATCTAGGCCAGCAAACTGAAGGTAAAGTCTACCCATTCCCACCTTATGGCTTACCTTCATTTGCACATTACTTCTTAAAGATAAATTTAAAGGTCTATCAAGAAATTTCTCATAAATTTTTCACAGAAGTACTTTGGTTGGGTTCCAAGAGTATTCAGAATGTTTTATTTCTAATGCTGCCACAACCCATTTAAAAAAGTTTTCTCTGATTAATACTGTCTACATTTTTAACCTACAAGTGAAACGGTTCACTATATTTCCATTAAATTACTTGTTGGAAGCTGAAAAAGACATTTGAGTCACACCATTCAGTTTGATATCTGTAAAACTTCAGTTTGTTTCCTCTATTTTTCATGTTGAAGAAATAATTTCGCAATTTCAAATCAAAGCCAACACTGCAGTGAGGAGAGCTTTTCTACTTTATTACAAAGAGAAGAAGCCTTTATGTGGTCAGAAAATACAAGATTGATCTTTTTTTCTCTTCCTATGAAACGCTGCTGTTCAAACAGCCAGAGTGAATTGTCTCAGTTCACTTCTTTTAAGTCCCATCACATTCACTTGGGTATGGATGTCCTTGGCTGCTGAAAATCTGGCCCTTTTAGTGCACAGGGCGACAAAGTCCCCTGACCAGCAGTTCCAGAATGTCCCATTTTCATATATTGCATCCATGCACACCTCCTAAAAATGAGGTACAGCAGGGCAAACATTTTCCAAAATAGATGTCATATATATAATATATACACATTCGTACATACATACCTTTATTCATGTGATGTCCAAAAATTTAAAAAAAATGTACACATTTATTACAAAATCGTAACAAAGACTGGACAGTGTTTTGCTCATTCTGGAAAGATGAAGCTCAGTAATAACACAACCCTGGAAAACCATCCAGAGATTGTGGCAATATCTTTCTTCTAAACAGTCAGATATTCTTGCATTAAGCTTGGCGAAACTGCCTTTCAAAAACAGAAGGGGAAGTAAAATGAAGGAAGCAGACCTCTTGCTCATCTTTCCAAATGAAATACGAGAAGGATCTTCACATAAAAATGCACAAACATTTGTTATTTTATTACCAATAGTGCTACAATGAACAATGCAAAATTTGTGGTCTAATTTTCTTGAGTCTTTTGGGGGTTTTCTTTTTTACATTTTAGAAACTATGGTAAACTTCTGTCAGTGTATTTGCTTGTCTTTACAGACTCAAGTCTGTCTGCTGGCAAAAAAGGAAATAAATGAAAAAATTCAGACCCTGCTCAAACTAGAGAAAAACAAATTACAAATTTAGTTGTTGGGCAGCACATAATTAGTAAGGCAGGACCTCAAATGGTGACCTTTTGCGTAAGCCAATTGCCAGATCCTCAAGGAATTAAAACCAGGGTGCCTGAGCCACATCAGTTCTGCAGTTATGTTGAGTATTGTGCTGAGACAGCCATACCCCAAGAAAAGGGAAGTCTTTTTTTTTTTTTTTTTTTTTTTTTAGAAGGCTTGCTGAGCAGGGTTGTAGTTGAAGGTGGATGGCAGGTGAGGCCGTTCTTCTAATTTGTCATATTCCAGATGGAACTCCTATAAAAACAAATTCAAGAATTTAGATATCTTCCCCTTTTCATTTTACATTTGTCAAAATACATTTTACTATAAAAATAAATAAAATACCCAATATATATGAATCAACATCAACACAGATATACCAACTGTTTTTCCTCTACATAAAATACAGCTTGAAGAAAAATAATGTGCTGTAGTTTCTAACCAATGAGTACAAAAAATACAGACAGGCTTTCTGTGTGTAAGTCAAGAGACTACTAATGGACCACTTGACACTGAAATGTTGTGTATTGTTTTTAACTTAAAAAAAGAGGGGGCAATTACTGTATCTCTGAATCACTGGAAATTACAGGATATTTAAAATAAAGCCCCCTTCAACGAAGTATAAAAACCTAAAGATTTTGTCCATGAAAAAAGTTTAGAAATAATTTTCCAAATTGTCTTTATTACATTTATATTAAAAAATAAGCAGGGCCGCGCACAGTGGCTCACGTCTGTAATCCCAGCACTTTGGGAGGCTTAGGTGGGCAGATCACGAGGTCAGGAGATCAAGACCATCTTTACCAATCAACATGGTGAAACCCCGTCTGTACTAAAAATACAAAAATTAGCTGGGCGTAGTGGTGCACGCCTGTAGTAGCAGCTACTCAGGAGGCTGAGGCAGGAGAATCGCTTGAACCTGGCAGGTGGAGGTTGCAGTGAGCCAAGATTGCACCACTGCACTCCAGCCCAGATGACAAAGCAAGACTCCGTCTAAAAAAAAAAAAAAAAGGAAAACACATAAAATTATTCTAACCTCATTAAAATCTGGGGAAAATAATGAACTTAAAACTCACACATCACTAGACTTGCATTTCACAAACCCAAAACCCTGACTCAAATATAAATCAACTGCCACCGAAAACTAGACAATGGTTCTGCTGTAGGAACATTTGAAAACTAGATAGCAGCTCACTTTAATCAAACTTTCAAAATACTGTATTAACTTCATGAGTTTTAAAATTTAAGAATGGTGACATAATTTCTTCATGATACTTCCCACCCAAGATCAAGAATAGAGATGCAGAATAGCTATGTATATTAGAAAAAAATGCAAACAACAAATACCTCTGCAACCCCAATAAGCAAGAGGCTCTAAAAGCCTCTTACCAATTCTACCATCTGAATTAGCACAAATTACTGCATAATCCAACTTAAAGAATTATGAAGCTTAATATGTATTATGTATTAAAGATTAAGGCAACAAGTGACATTAGCTACCATGGGTTAACATATTTTACCTTATCTGTCTGGTTTCAAACTGATTCCATGATGAGTATTTCCATTATTAAATTAAAATGAAAACCTAGACTATAATGACCAAATTTTAAGATGGAACACCAAGTATTTAAAATTTAAAGATATTACACTTAAATAAATTTAAAGATATTACAGACCTAACAGCAGAATTTATTGAAAGCCTAGTATGTGCTAAAATTAGAGATACAGCTAATTTTATTCTAATCTTTGTAATAATTCTGTAAAGCAGATATCATTATTTTCATTTTGTACCTGAAGAAAATGAGGCTTACAAGTAACTTGGACAAGTCATCAGTAAGCGGCACACCTAGCATTAGGATCCAGACCCATGTGACAAAAAGCCTCCATGTGACAAAAAGCCTGTGTCTTTTGTAGTGTAACACATTATTTTTAATATTTTTAGTCCAAGATCCAAAACAGATTCATTTACTTCATTACAAGGCAATCCAGAAATGCTGAAAGAATTCAGTCCCCTTCTCTCTTGGTATAAGGTGAAGAAAAAGGAAAAAAAAAATCAGTCCCCTGAGAGTTTATAAAGAAGGTACACCATGGTGACTTTAGCCTGAAAAGGTTGCCTTCATGTGACTGGTACAGTAATTAAGACACAGAGGTTATTTGCTTATCAGTAAAAATTAGCAAACACCAGAATCACCACCACAACCATGACATCCTGCCCTAATACACTGTGTAGCACTACTCCCCCTCTCCCAGCCCTAGCTAGGAATTAAAATAATTTTATTGCTTGGTTCAAGTTGACTATCTGAATTCGTGAAGAAAATTTGTTATCATTCTTCTGAAATTAAAATTGGCATTTTTGTTTTCAAAATGTGTAGTTACAGGGAAAAAAAGTCTAATTGTAACTTCCACAAAGTGGTAAGTTATACTGAGTAAGTTAACTAAAATTTTTCACATTGATGAACTACAATGTATGACTAGGAATTCAAACTAGATTAACTTTATCAATGTACATTTTCCCCCAGAAAAATATAGTTTAAACCTAAGCAGCGTAAATAATTTTGATATAGAGATTTAGAAATTTTGATATAGAGATCAGAGATTTAGAAATTACATAGGTAAAATTTTGCCTTCCACGTTTTAAAATCTTGTTTTCCACGTACTTTTATTCTTCTTAAAATACATAAGTTACTTTGATTACTGGTAACACCATTTACATGTTTGTTATATATACACACACATACTACACACATGCACAACCTCATACATTCTGTAGGAGCAAGTGTCTATCTACTTTGTATACTACTACCTACAACTTGGAATAGTGCCAAGCCCCTAATGGATGTGTAATTAATATATGATGAATAAACACAAGCTTTCTTCCTTTGTTTTAGGAACAAAACATTTAATTTTTCTAATATTATCAAATGATACATTAGAGGGTCTATGTATATATTTGCTTTTAGTGGAAAAAAAAGGATTTCTAGATTATAATATGATTGCAAAGGCTAGAAAGAGTTCCAAATACTTTTTAGACAACTTTTTCATACCTTAGTTCTTCTATTAATAAAATTAGGCTATGTATTCTCCAAAGGTTACTTGTTCAATTCAAGCAAAACTGAATGCAATGGATTCATATAGTCAAATAATATTACAAAAACATTAATGTAATCACTGATCTAGTTATGTAGAGAAACACACACTGCAGAGGTGTTTTCTCAAATTCTCATGAAATGTCAGCTTTCTCTTACCTACATGTTGAGTATCTCTTATCTGAGATTTTGCTTATTCTGGGAACAGAAGTGTTTGGATTTTGGAATATTTATACATATAAAATGAGGTATCTTGGGGATGGGACCCAAGTCTAACCATGAAATTCATTTATGTTTTATATATACCTTATTCACATACCCTGAGGGTAATTTTATACAATGTTACTAATATTTTGTGCAGAAAATAAGGTTTGTTTACACTGTACACTGAACCATCAGAAAGCAAAGGTGTCAGGTATGGAATTTTCCACTTGTGACACCATGTTGGCATTCAGAAGTTACAGATTTTGGAGTATTCAGGTTTTAGATTTTTGAATCAGAATGCTCAACCTGTATAATAAATCCATATTAACTTAAATTTTAGGAAGTAGCAAACTATCTTAAATACAGTTATTAGAAATAATCTTTGAAGAAAAGTACACATTACTAAAGTATAAGGATGTACTAATATGTAACTGTGAAATTAATGAAAAATCACATTTATATCAGACTGTGACATAAAAAATCTTAACTGTTAGAAATCCTGATAGATCCACGAGGTCAAATTAGGCCGAAAGAATTCTTAAATTTTAAGTCTTTGAGAAAGCTACTGATAATAAGGCAGCCTCTATCACCTAAAAATTAACTGTGGAAGAAATTATTTTAAAAATTTAATGCATGAAGATTATATATACTATCTGAATTGCTGCAAATTTAAAATTAGTAAAATATGAGTAATTCCAGCAAAACGACACAGGAGAACATGGCCTGCTAAAAAGTTAATGAGTATATAAAAGGAAAGAATAAGCAAAATACAATGTTAAATTAAAAAAAAAAATAGGATCTGGCTCTGTCACCTGGGCTGGAGTATAGTGATGCAATCACAGCTCACTGCAACCTTGAACTCCTGGGCTCAAGCAATCCTCCTACCTCAGCCTCCCAAGTAGCTAGGACTGCAGGAGCATACCACCACACCTGGCTATGTTTCTCTCTCTCTCTCTTTCTATAGAGACAGAGTCTTGCTATGTTGCCCAGGCTGATCTTAAACTCCCAGCTTCAAGTGATCGTCTTGCCTCATTCTCCCAAAGTGTTAGGATTACAGGCATGAGCCACCATGCCCAACCAATGTCAACATTTTAATGTATATATTATTTACAGGAAATTATGTAAATAAATAATGGATTGGATTCTAGAACTCAGGGTCACAAAATTTTTAGAGGATAAGAAATACTTCTGGTTTAGATTATCTAATCCCTTATTTAATATTACAATTATCTGAAAATAGTAAGTGATTTGGGGAAAAATGCTCATACAAAATATTATGAATGGACATAAAATATTATGAATGGACTCCAGGATTATGGTGTAGACCAGTTCAGTACCTTTCAAGAACACCATAATATCAGCTATTATTTAAAATGTTAATTCATACTGTAGGCTTCTTACAGTGAATTGAGGTTATTTAATATACGTTCTTTAACTGTGAATAGTAAGGCACACCCACTTTACAGATGGGGACTCAACTTGTGACATGACATGTTAATGGATTTTCTATAATTTGATGAAGGCTGTTAATAAATATACTTATGAACAGGTCCCAGATTTCTTAATTACTAATCAATATTCTGGGAAAGCACTGAACACATCCTTTAAAGAATTTTTTGAAAAATTTATCCCGTTAATATACTGCAACTTCAAAATTTTAAGTGCATGAATTTGTATTTTAATATAACCAAGAGTGAGCTGCTCATTAATATCTTAATACCAACAATTCTGCCTGTTTTCATTACTATGAAAATAATTTTAAAGCGTGTCAGTGCAAGGTACCAACAAACTATTACCTTGAAAGAGATTTCTGAGGGAGTAACTTAATGATATTATTTCTCACATTTTTCACATCACAGTTAAAAAATTTAAAGATAAAGACAAAAGCTCAACTGTACACGATAGATAAAACTGAGCTAAATTATGTTTTATATATAATATATAAAAAATATGTAAATCCATATTTAAATAGATACAATTTTCTTTAAAATGACATTTACCTGACTGAGGAATTGCTTTTGCTGGAAATTAAAGGAGTCCTACATTAATGTTAACATTGTTTTCTAAATATTTAACTTCATGAGGAGAACTTAATTCTGGAAAGCTGATTTTCTCACAAATTGATTTCTTCATACATATATCTAACAAAATTTAACTAAAATTATGTAGCTGTTTACTGAAAATATCCACCCCTTTTTACATATGTAAGTTTGGAATAATTTACAATAATATTGAGCAAAAATGTTCAAATTGAATGGAGAAAACTTCAGTTCTTTCCTAATAAAATTTTTTTCTTCTTCCAAAGATGTTTTTGACTCCTGTAGCATCACCTAATCCACAGGTTCTTTAAATATAGTTCTGGACCAAGACCAGCATGTCATTACTACCGTCACTTAGGAGCTTGTTAGAAATGCAATTCTCAGGCCCCACCCACAGACTCACTAAATCATAAATGATGGAGGTATGGTCCAGAAATTTGTGTTTTAACAAGTTTTCCAGGTAATTCTGATACAAGCTATAGTTTGAGAACCAATGACCTAACCTAATTAACAATCAGCTCTAATTTTTTCATCCTTGCAAAAACAGTAGCTATAATAACGATGATAAAAACAATAGCAGTAAACTAGTACAACCACCACCATGTATCAAATACCCAACGTGTGCCAAGCACTGTAATCAGCATGTGTGTGTGTATATAAACATATATGAAATCTCATTTAATCTTCATAAAAACTTAGAGGAAAATCTCACCTCAATTTTACAAAAGAGGAAACAGGCATGAAAAAGAAAATTGTAGAAGGTCAAAGCATAAATAACAGCAATAGGAGTTAAATTCAAATCCATGATACAAAGGCTATAGCTTTCTACTGTATACTACATATCTTAAAAAGCAGGTAACATATACAATAGCTCAGGCACTATTTTTAATTAATGTGATTATTTAACTAGAAGGTTAACTCATAAATACACCTTCTGAAAACACAATAGTCACATGAATTGGAACTGTTAAAATAATTCAGATACAAAATACAGTATGTGGACTTGGTCTGAGAAGTAAAGACATTTACCACTGAGAAACATCTAAAAAAAAAGATTTAATTTCTTATGTGGATCTTATTTGGTGTTGTCTGTTAGGGGACATCTGTTTTTGTTTTTTTTTTTTTGAGACGGAGTCTCGCTCTGTCGCCCAGGCTGGAGTGCAGTGGCGCGATCTCGGCTCACTGCAAGCTCCGCCTCCCAGGTTCACGCCATTCTCCTGCCTCAGCCTCCCGAGTAGCTGGGACTACAGGCACCCTCCACCAGGCCCAGCTAATTTTTTTTTGTATTTTTAGTAGAGACGGGGTTTCTCTGTTACCCAGGATGGTCTTGATCTCCTGATCTCATGATCCACCCACCTCAGCCTCCCAAAGTGCTGGGATTACAGGTGTGAGCCACTGCACCCGGCTTTTTGAGTTTTATATGAAATCTTGGGATGTAAAAATTTTTGTGATAAATATCTGGTAGGCATTTTACATTGTCTTCTTAAAATGTTTTACCTTTTTAAATAATCATTTTAGTAAAGCAGATTCAAAACTACAAACAAACAAAAAAACAAATTGACAACTAAAAAATTGTCCAAAGAACTGTCAGAAACATTTTTCTGCTGTTTAAATTTATTTAAAACAAACAAATTTAACTCTTTAATTATAAACCTCAGAATCATTGATGGAAAATGTATCAGAAAAATCATGGAGTTGTGAAATCAGATAATGTGGAGAATAATATATAGAGTGGAGAGAATATATTCTCTCCACATGTAGAGAATAATATATTCTCTACTAGGCAGACTAAATAAACACAACGTACTAAATGCAGGTATGAAATATGCATTGACACTGATGAAAATTTTGCACATGGGACGGTTAGAAAGGCGTTTAAGTGAGGAAAAGTTGCAAAACCAAAATAAAATAATCAACATTTCTCCATAGCCGATTTCTCCCCAATATTTAGCAAAATAGTCACAGAAATAGTCATAGTTAACGCCTGTAATTTTCTTTCTTAAAATTACTTGCAAATAAACATTCAGATGTATTTCCTGCAACTAGTCCAAGTGTAAAAAGCCTGTTTATATACTGCTTTTAGAAAAATCTCATCCTTGCTTAAAGTTACAAAAATATAAAAATATATGACTGGGGTTGCAAGAGAGTATCTTTATTTTACAAAGCAGTAGACACAAAAAATATTTCAAATGTTACCAAGGCTTATGCAAAATTACAAAACCTCTTACCAAATTCAATAATGTAACTATCAGTGAAACCAATTGTTTTGGGACACTCTTCTAAGAGTGTCAAGCCAAGGAGATGGAATTAAACAGTTGGCAAATATGTGGCACATTACTGGAACTGGATGTATTGGTACTTATAAACAGATAAAAGAGGACACTTCTTTTTTCAAGTTTAGATTTATACATTTGCACATGGAAAGAAATATACCTTAGCTACTTTCCTCCAGTTAAGACAGTCAAAGAAGTAATATGTTCCCCTCTCATAGGTATTGGTTTTCATTGTTGGCTCCATGCCTGGTGCCCTGGTAATCCATACTCGTTCTTCTTTGTGGTATCTCCAATCACGGTTAAAACTTCAATTTTTAAAAGAAAAGATAATTAACTTTTTCCTGTGGCTTACATCAAACATGTTCTACATTTTGTAAAGCTTTCCTCCGGAAAAAAAAAATTACACATAAAATAAATAAATATGAATGCTTCCTACTCATTTATTATAAGTTATTAAATACAACCGCATTGAAATATAGAAAAAATATTTCTTAATTTGTCCAGAAGGCACACTAATTAATACACACACTTTTATTTAACTAAAGAAACTTTTTATACAAACAAGGATTTTAAAAGTTTTATAAGCAATGTGATAAAAACATAGGCAGACCAAATAAAGACACAATGTGTTGCAAAAACTTCACTCCTTTCTTGCTCTTCTTAACACTCAAAAGAAATTGAGGTATCTCCAACTATTTGCATTATTTGATAAGGAACTAAATACAAACTATATTTGAATTAATTATGTAAATTCCACATAATTTTTTAACTATCTTGAAACTAGAGCATTTTGAAAAATTATACTGAATATATTTACTTTTTATTCAAATTTCAGATTCTAAATTCTCAAAAGCTAAGAGAAAATCCATTACAATTCATAAAAGAATCAATGAGAATTTACACTACTTGTAAACTGAGGAAGTAACATCCAGAGGAGGTAATGTCCCACAAAATAAACCTCCATGTAAAGAAATGCTTTCCTACCAACGTCATGAGGTAGTTTTTAAGACATAAATAAAATATGAAAACAGAACTGCCAGTGATAGATGAATGAGTGCCTGAATGTATTTATTTACTTATGAACAATTAAAAGGAACAACAGGTAATAATCTCTATTCTCACAAAAATGAAGGAAAAACATAAGGGAAAAATCCTCTCAGTTGTGAAATGAAACGAAACAATTCATTATCAACATACTGAATTATATACTTTAAACTATTTGATCCAAAGCCATTTATAGAAATGTTATTAGAAATGTTATGAAATACTTAAATTTGTGAAAAGGTCTCCCAATCATAAGGTCATAAATAATTACTAATAGTTTACTCTATAGTAAACATAATTGTCTATTGATAACAAAATGTGTTGCCAACTGTACATTTGAGTAACGACAGAAAACTTAATTTTAGAGCATCAGGTAAATACAGAACTGCTCAGGGAAAAAATATCAATGAACCAATTTCTTTACATTAATATTTGTTTAAACTGGCCAATAGACTGCTGATAATGAAAATGTGGACTTTAATCAGCACTTCAAAACGTACAACAAATATGCACACTGCCTTGCTTATAAGTAATAATGTTTATGAAATGATTAAATTCAGTATCGAATTATTTATACATATGGTTCCACAAGGAATAAAAAACATAGTCATGAATATCATATAATTCACATATTTACAAAAATTAGATTCACCAAATCCATGAGTTATGTCAATTCTGTCTTCTTACAAATTTGGCACTTATTAGTTATTTTTAGAGACAGGGTCTTGCACTGTCAGCCACACTAGAGTGCAATGGCACAATCATAGCTCACTGACACCTCAAACTCCTGGGCTCAAGCGATCCTCCTGCTGTAGCCTCCCAAGTAGCTAGGACTATATAGATGTGTGCCACCACACCTAGCTAATATTTTCCTTTATTTTTTGTAGAAATGTGGTTTGCTGTGTTGCCCAGGCTGTCCCTAACTTCTGGCCTCAAGTGATCTGTCCACCTCACCAAAGTGCTGGGATTACAAGTGTGAGCCACTGCACCCAGCTTCAGCATTAAGTTTGAAATTCTTTTTAGGTATATAGATTATGAAGCCATGGTTAAGATACGGTTTTAATCTAAATTAAATTCACTTTAATAATGTAAAAATAAATTTCTTGATGGAGAAATAGTTCCATTTAAAGATAGCCATCATCACTTAAAGATGTTTTCAGCATAGTCAAGATCCACTATAATACAAAAGTGATTAAAATACTTTGAACATACAGCTCCACTGCAGCTAAAAGTTGTAATACGTCTCCTCCATTCATGTAATAGAGATAGAAGAGAAGGTCTTCACCATATCGGCCAAGTTTTATTGCAGCCAGCTGAAAAAGAAAAATAACTTATTCTGAAATATAAAACAAATCTGCAAATCCTAATATATAGTTGCTACTACTAAAGAAAAAATGGAGAGATAAACAGAAACTCCCCACTTTGTAGTAGATAACTGTTATTACATGATTACACAGATAGGTAGTTAAGATTCTAAAAGGGAATTTCCTCATTTAAATGACTGAAGTCATTTAAACAATTATTTCTGATACATCTAATTGATATGCTGACTGGAAGAAAAGCTCAATAAAGACTTCCAAGCAAGATCCACTAAAAGGATTTAATACCCAATGGGGAAAAGAACCTAACAATAGCATTGTGCTCAGAGATCTAGGACTTGTATTCAAGTCCTGGTTTTATTACTCATTAATATGACTGTGTCCTAGTTATTTAAAATCTCTTAGCTTTACTTGTCAAATGTGGACAATGACACCTATGAGGGTTACTAAGAAAGTAAATAAAATGAGTGAAGGTATATGAAAGCACCTTGTAGAGTGCCAAATATATAGACGGCTTATAAAAAATGTTAAACTGAATCTATATCTGACAGTGAATGATTCACAAGTCAGTTGTATGCTTTCAGCAAATCACAGATGATGAATACAAAAATCATAAAGAAATGGCTTTTCAGTTTGTTTAAATAGATGTCTGAAAGATGATTGCTTTACATTTCTCTCCCCAAGGTAGAAACATAACTGCTTACCAAACTGTAAAACATAGGTTCAATAGTCTCAAATTTTCACATTTAAATAAACCTTAAAAGTGTCCCAAAACAACATTTTTATCTCGTTATTTGATCCTATATCGAAATACTTATTTGGTTATTACACATTCTCTGAATGTAATTTTTCTCTCCATTCATGTTATCCCTATTCAGGCAGCAGCCCCAATGTGACAAATTCTCCTAAATTAGTATTTCTCAAATTGGTAATAAGAAAAGGTTCTGGAACACTTTGGTAATTGGAGCGAAAGAGCTCTACAGTGGTGGTGGGAGCAAATCACACAATCCGCAAATAGAAAATAGGAGACCTCTCCATCTTGTATTTCTTGCCTTTTATCTACTCAAGTATTAGAAGACATTGAGAAAGGTATCCCTTTACTTGCCTGTCCACATCAACATCCACTTGACCACAGAACTGTAAGGCACACTCAGAATGCTGTTGTATATATACACATACACATAGATATTTATACACAAATATATAACAAAAATATATTTTTTCACTAAATTGTAGTTTCCCAAGGCTAAAATTTAGGTACCATTGTGAATATTTTTTGGTAATAGAAACAAACTCTCAGTTCTTCTAAAGCAAAAAGTGCCACCATTTTCTTTCTTAGATTGAAAAAAGAGAGATTAAGCTGTAATCTGTTGTTAATAACTACTTTAGAATTAGAATTTTAGGTGATTTAAAAAAATGGAAATGAAAAAATACAGAGAAAAGTCAAAGGTCATAAATAGTTTTTAAAGATACAGACCATCTCATTAAAAACACTGTATCTGTAATACTTGTAACGAAAATCTTTTTACTGGTAAGGTCATAAAATAAGATTATCAGAAGGATATTTATCAAATGTTCCAATCTAGTTTATTCTCATCAACTGCGGTTATGGTTGTAACCTGTTGTTAAATGTAAGAATTTTTATTTTTTACCAGTCCTAACATTTACCATTTAACAAGTTAACATGGACATATGAAAGCATATCCCTGAGACCATTACTAATTATTTCAAAAATAGTATGCTGCCTGAACTGAAAAACATGTGAAAAATAGATAAATTCATGCTGACTGAGTAGAATAATAAACTACACTCACCTTATCCCTAATGTGAATGTTCGTTAAGTACTCAGATGGAACATGGAAGTCTGGATAATAAAATGAAAAAAGCCTTATTAACTGATTCTCAATTGTAAATTTCTTTTTAAAAGGTCTAAACACAAATAGATTCTCCTACCTATGTCTTGAGGTCGACAAGGTGAAGATGCCCAGGGTGACGCAAATTTGGGGTAGAGATTTCTGAATAAGGAGGAAAAGAAAACATTTTGAAATCCAGAAAAAGAGATTTCTAATTTTATTTCAGGAAAAACAAAGACTCCAACTGTAAAATGACCATCTTTACTTCTAATTCCCTTACTTGGGTTTACTGACTTATACAGAAGCAAATGAAGACTGTGTGTGTTTGTGTGTGTGTCTGTAAAATATGATAGGACTCCTTCCCTCAGTATTCTTGCAATACAGTATAAATAACACAACATATCACAATATACAAAACATGATTAAAAATTTTCTACTTTTACTTGATTTCAACTCAAGATGCTTTAAATTCTTCAATACCATGCTCCCAATATAAATTAAATTTTAAATAAATTTTAAATAAATTTCCCATTTATTTGTGTGGCAAGAAGAAAACTGAGTAACTATTTGCAAAAGTTTAAATTCATCAAATATTTACTGAGTGCCTATTATATGCCTGGCACTGTTCTAGGAGCTTACGACACATCAGTGAGCAAAACAAGATCACTGACAACATGAAACTTACTTTCTGGTTGAGGATGGTGGATTGGAGGGGGACAGACAAAATCAATTAACAGAATAAATAAATAAACAATGGCCCATGTTAGAGGGGAACTGGGAGGGGAGACTGGATGCATAATTATTAAATAGGGTGGTCAGTTAGGTTTCATTAAGGTGGTCAGATCTGAAGATTTGAAGGCTATAAGGGACATAGTCATATTAATTATCTGGCAGAAGACTCTTCTAGTCTGAGGGAACTCCTAGAGCAACTAAGGCAGGGACATGACTGACATGCCTGAGATATAACAAGGTGGCCAGTGAAGCTGGAATACAGTGAACAAAGGGAAAAGCTGTTGAGGTGGGGTTAGGGGACAAACAATAATCATGTAAGACCTTGCAGGCCTGTGAAGATTTGGGGTTTCTGGTCAAGCGCGGTGGCTCACACCTATAATTCCAATACTCTGGAAGGCCAAGGTGGGCAGACCACTTGAAAAGTGAGGAGTTAAGAGACCAGCCTGGCCAACATGGTGAAATCCCGTCTCTACTAAAAATACAAAAATTAGCTGGGCATGGTGGCACATGCCTGCAATCCCAGCTACTCAGGAGAATCGCTTGGACCTGGGAGGTGGAGGTTGTAATGACCCGAGATTGCATCACTGCACTCCAGCCTGGGCGACAAGAGCAATACTCTGTCTCAAAAAAAAAAAAAAAAAAAAAAAGATTTGGGGTTTTTAATCATAATGAAACCACAAACATTTACTGGGTGTTGAGCAGAGGAGTAATGTATTAAAAAAGGATTGTCTTGGCTGTTATATGAAGAGATTGTACGGGAAGGGGTATAAGGACAATCAGGGACCCCCAGTGACTGGCTAATGGAGTATTCAGGCAAGAGAGAATGATTCAAACAAGGGTGGTAGCAGTTAAAAGTAGTGAGCTTTGGTTAGATTCTGTATATATTTTGGGAAAAGCCTGATTATGGGGTATAAAAGAAAGAGGAGTTAAGAATAATGCCAAGTTTCTGGAAGTACAGAGTTACCACTAACTGAGATTGGAAAGGCTGTAGACAGAATAAGTTGGGGGGTGATCATTCAAGAAATATTTAATTGGCAATTGAATGTAGAAATCTCAAACTCAGAAGTGTGGAATGGAAACATATGTTTGGGATTCCTCAATATATATGGTATTTAAAACAATAAGACTAGAAAAAGATCATCAAGGATGTAAATGCAGAGAAGAGGAATGACACTGAGGTCAAGAAGAAAAGGAGGAGGTACCAGCAAAGGAAACTGAAAAAGACCAACCAGTGAAGATGAGGTAAAAATGGTGCTCTCAAATTCAAGTACAAGAATGTGTATCAAGGAGCAAGAGTTCCTCCAAGTGACCACTGAATTTAATAACATGAAGGTCATTTGGTGACCTTGATAAAAGCAGCTTTAGTGAAGTGGCAGGGACAAAATCCTGACTGAAATGGGCTTACCAGAGAATGGGAGAAGACCAAGTCGGAGAAATGGAGATGACTCTTTGAAAAGTTTCGCTTCAAAGGGAAATAAAGAAATGGGAAAGTAACTTACGGAGGAGGTTGGATCAAAGGAAGATTTTCTTCTAAGATGAGAGAAGTAACAATGTATTTCTATGTTGATGAAAATGACCCAACAAAGTGTGAAAATGTGTTGTAAGTAGAACGCATGGGTCAATTATGGTAATAGGGTGGAAAACAAGAATAACATAGGTGTAGGTGGCTGTAGGTAGTCAGATTTGTTGGCTAGACTGTGCTAAATGTGCTCTTCTAATTGCTTCCATCTTTCTTAGTACAGTAAAAGTGAAAAGCAAGATCATCATTTGATAGTAAGAATAAGGAGAAAAGGTATTAGGGGCATGCAGAAGTGTACGATAGTTGCATAAGAGAGCAAAAGAGTAAATGGACTAAGCATGCAAGGTATAATTATCACTGGTAGAATTAAGAGCCTACTTTTGAGGCTCCTGGGCATGAAAATAAAGGAAGACCAGGCAGTGATATCATGTGTTTTTCTCTAGCAGAGCTCAGTAGCACAGGTCAGGAATGAAATAGGCAGAAACAATCAGTACTGTAGCTTTGGCCATGCAAGTATAACAACATGAGAAAATGGCAAGTAGTCATGGGATATGTAAATGAACAATTATGACTGACCACAGAATTTCATGGGTAAGAAGGGAGTTGATCACAGGGGAAAAGAGACGGGGATCTGGAAGAACAGTTAAAATACCGAAGAATCAATAGATTGAAGGTCCCAATGGAGTGAAATGATTACAGGAATCACAGTACTAGAAGAAGAGAAATAGAAAATAGAAAGTGGAAGTCGGAAAGCATGCGAGCTCAGATTTTAAAATTGAGAGACTGCAGTTACGAACAATGACTAGGTCAAAGGGATAACTAAAGGAGTGGCTGAAGTATACTACAGGACAAAAATTCCTGGAGGAAAGAAATTCAAGGAGCTGAGATTTCAGGATTCTGGAAGGTGTGTGTGTGTGTGTGTGTGTATATATATATATATACACACACACATATATACATGCACATGCACACACACACACACACACACACACACACACACACATAAAATGCCAAATTATAAAAGGAATACTGCAGAGTGACAGTGATCTAAGAGCTAACATGAATGGGAATGACCCAGAGAATCAGCAGGTTAACAATGAGT